>NW_003571054.1:0-154896 GCF_000001405.40 Homo sapiens
TGTCAGTTGCTTGGTGTGGTGAAGCAATGAGAGTGTTTTTTTCGGGGGAGGAGGTGTCAGATAGATCAAGAATTTATAATTAGCATAAGAAATGTACTTCTTAACAAAGCCAGCCTGGGCAACATAGTGAGATTCCCATCTCTACAAAAAAAAAAAAAAAAAAATTAGCCCAGTGTGGTGGTGCACACCTGTGGCCCCAGCTACTTGGGAGGCTGAGGCAGGAGGATTGCTTGAGCCTGGGAGGTCAAGGCTGCAGTGAGCTATGATTGTGCCACTGCACTCCAGTCTGTGTGACAGTGCAAGACCCTGTCTCAAAAAATAAAAAGAAAAAAAAAGAAACATACTAAAAAAGGACACATATTAGCAATATGAAACAAGAACAATTTTCCATAAAGCAAGAGGCTTATGGAAATAAAAAGTATAAAAATACATGATGGTAAAAAATATATAACATTATCCTCTAACAGAATAGGCAGTAGGGTGGGTGCCGTGGCTCACGCCTGTAATCCCAGCACTTTGAGAGGCTGAGGTGGGATGATCACTTGAGACCAGGAGTTCGAGACCAGTCTGGGCAACATGGTGAGACCGTGTCTCTTTAAAAAAAAAAAAAAAAAAGGCAGAATTGATACAGCTGAAGAAAAATGAACAAGTAAGAAAATGTGGTGGAGGAACTTCTCCAGGAAGCTGATATAATTATATTAAGATCAGAAAAAATAAGAGAAAAGTCATCGTACGATATAAGGGACAGGTGTTTCTCAAAATCCAAAATCTTCTCTGCTAAGAGAATCCTGATTTTGTTTTTGTTTTTGTTTCTTGAGATGCAGTCTTGCTCTGTCGCCCAGGCTAGAGTGCAGTGGTGCAATCTCAGCTCACTGCAAACTCCACCTCCCAGATTCAAGTGATTCTCCTGCCTCAGCCTCCCCAGTAGCTGGATTACAGGTGCTCGCCACCACACCCAGCTAATTTTTGAATTTTTAGTAGAGACGGGGTTTCACCATGTTGGTCAGGCTGGTCTCAAACTCCTGACCTCGTGATTCGCCCACCTCAGCCTCCCAAAGTGCTGGGATTACAGGCCTGAGCCACCGCACCCAGCCGAGAACCCTGATTTTGTTCAGGTGTCAGTTGGCCACCCTTGTTCCTTGGAGACTTGGCCCTTTTCTAGTTTCAGGCATGAATCTTGATTAGTCTAAGGCTTAGTGACGTGCTGGTTGTGAAAGTGTGGTCCCTGAACCAGCAGCGTCAGCATCACCTGGGAGCTCGTCAGAAAGGCAAATTCTTGAGCCCCACCCCAGACCTACTGAATCAGTCAGAAACTCTGAAGGTGAGCTTTTCCTTTCTCCTCCTCTCCAACCTATGGTTTGACAAGTCCTCCAGGTGATTCTGATGCACACTGAAGTTTAAACACCTTTAGCCCAGTTAGGTAAACTCACGCCCACTGCTAGTGGTTATTTAAGGAAGGGGCTGGATGCAATTGTGTTTCTTGAGATGTGAGTGGAAATCTCGTGGGAGGCTTCCTCATGTTGGAGAGGGCCGCGTTGGAAGGGCCTTTCTATGCCCTTCGTCTGCTTTTTATCTCATCCTTTCCAAAAAATTAACTTTTTATTTATTTATTTGAGACAGAGTCTTGCTCTTGTCGCCCAGGCTGGAGTGCAGTGGCGCGATCTCGGCTCACTGCAACCTCCACCTCCTGGGTTCAAGCAATTCTCCTGCCTCAGCCTCCCGAGTAGCTGGGGCTACAGGCACCTGCTACTATGCCCAGCTAATTTTTGTATTTTCCGTAGAGACAGGGCTTCACCATGTTGGCCAGGCTGGTCTCAAACTCCTGACCTCAAGTGATCTGCCCACCTCAGCCTCCCAAAGTGCTGGCATTACAGGAGCGAGCCACCTCACCTGGCTTAACTTTTTATTTTAAAATAGTTCTGGAGGCCAGGTGTGGCAGCTCACGCCTATAATCCCAGCACTTTGGGAGTCTGAGGCAGAAGGATCTCTTGAGCCCAGGTGTTCAAGACCAGCCTGGGCAACATGGCAAAATCCCATCTCTACAAAAAAGTTTTTAAAAATTAGCATTTGCCTGTGCGTCCAGCTTCTCAGGAAGCTGAGGCGGGAGGATCACTTGAGCTTAGGAGGTCAAGGCTGCAGTGAGACACCATACTGGGATTACAGGCGTGAGACACCACTCCAGGTCTGGGTTCTCTTTTTTTTTTTTTTTTTTTTTGAGACAGAGTCTCACTCTTTCGCCCAGGCTGCAATGAAGTGGCACCATCTTGGCTCACAGCAACCTCCACCCCGCAGATTCAAGCGATTCTCCTGCCTCAGCCTCCTGAGCAGCTGGGATTACAGGCGCCCGCCACCAAGCCTGGCTAATTTTTATATTTTAGAGATGCCCAGGCTGGAGTACAGTGGTGCGATCTCAGCTCAACACAACCTCCACCTCCCGGATTCAAGTGATTCTCCTGCCTCAGCCTCCCCATTAGCTGAGATTACAGGCATGCACCACCACGCCCGGCTAATTTTGTATTTTTAGTAGAGACAGGGTTTCTCTGTGTTGGTCAGGTTGGTCTCCAATTCCTGACCTCCGGTGATCTGCCTGCCTCGGCCTCCCAAAGTGCTGGGATTACGGGTGTGAGCCACTGTGCCCGGCTGATCTTACATTTTCTTGTGCACTTATTCATGAGCTTTTTTTTTTTTTATGAAAATGAATTCCTACCATCCATTCTCCTTCCAAACTGCTCATACCCAGTATTCCCAAGGTTTTTGCACATGTATATAACAGAATGTCAAAGTAGATTCATTGCAATCTCAGTTTCTGCTCAGGCCCAAAGATTATAGATGCCAGCGAGGTCAGATCTCACAGTAAGGCCATTTCTGCATGACTTCAGGAGAAAATGCTGAAAACCTAATTTCCCCACACCCTTGGCCTCTTGTCCACCTGAAGGTAAGAAAGGAGTGTTGGGGGGAAGGGGGAGGGATAGCATTAGGAGATATACCTAATGCTAAATGACGAGTTAGTGGGTGCAGCACACCAGCATGGCACATGTATACATATGTAACTAACCTGCACATTGTGCACATGTACCCTAAAACTTAAAGTATAATAATAATAAAATAAAATAAAAATAAATAAATAAATAAAAATTAAAAAAAGAAAAAAAAAAGAAAGGAGTGTTGAGATTAGAAGGTATTTTTTTTCCTATTGGGATACAGGTGGTGTTTGGTTGCATGAGTAAGTTCTTTAGTGGTGCTTTGTGAGATTGTGGTGTAGCCATCACCCAAGCAGTATACACTGCACCCCATTTATAGTCTTTTATCCCTCGCCCCCCTCTCACCTTTCCCCCCAAGTCCCCAAAGTCCATTGTATCATTCTTATGCCTTTGCATCCTCATAGTTTAGCTCCCACATATCAGTGAGAACATATGATGTTTGGTTTTCCATTCCTGAGTTACTTCACTTAGAATAATAGTCTCCAGAGATTAGAAGAGTTTTTGTTTTGTTTTGTTTCTGTGTGTTTGTTTACGTAAGCTGTTGGTGTGCTGTGAGTCCCATCCTCTGTCCACCGTAGATGTGTGATGGAGGATGACAGTCTCTTCAACTGGACAATTCAGAGTAGTTATATGGGGTGAGGGGCGGGTCCAGAGAGGAATGGGGTCTGATATGGTTTGGCTTTATGTCCCCACCCAAATCTCATCTTGAATTGTAATCCCCAGGTGTTGGGGGAGGAACCTGGTGGGAGGTGATTGAATCATGGAGGTGGCTTCTACCTTGTTGTTCTCATGATAAAGTGAGTTCTCAGGAGATCTGATGGTTTTATAAGCGTTTGGCAAGTTCCTCCTTTGCTTGCTCTTCTCTCTCTCTTGTTGCCTTGTGAAGAAGATATTTGCTTCTCCTTCCCCTTCTGCCATGACTGTAGTTTCCTGAGGCCACCCTAGCCATGTGGAATTGTAAGTCAATTAAATCTCTTTCTTTTTTTTTTGAGACTGAGCCCCCCTGTCATCCAGGCTGGTGTGCAGTGGTGCAATCTCAGCTCACTGCAACCTCCGCCTCCTGGGTTCAAGCGATTCTCCTGCCTCAGCCTACCGAGTAACTGGGACAACAGGCATGCGCCAATAGCCGGCTAATTTTGTATTTTTAGTAGAGGTGGCGTTCACCATGTTGACCAGGCTAGTCTCGAACTCCTAACCTCAAGTGATCCGCCCACCTCAGCCTCCCAAAGTGCTAAGATTACAGGTGTGAGCCACCACACACGGCCTCGGCTATTTATAGCAGTGTGAGAACGGGCTAACACAGGGTCTTTCCTCACTGGAGAGAGAGGGTGGGAGGAGAGAGAGAGGGTGGGAGGGGAGAGAGGGGAGAGGGGAGAAATGGGGGAGGGGGGGAGAGGGGGGAGAGAGAATGAATATGAGAATGAATGTACCAGGAGCTTTTATCCTTTGCAGGAGCGCCACCTGGAGGTAGGAGGTGAAGTCTGCAGAGAGAAGCTGGAAATGTACTGACGGATCCCCAAGGATTCAGTAATGTGACCAAGTGGAGGAGCTGCATTTACAGGCATCAAGGGAACTGCAGGTGAGAGGTCTGCAGCCTTGCAAGAGAGTGGGGGAAGCAGGAGAAGCTCCACGTGGGGAGATAAAGGAAAAGCTGACCACGCTTCCTCCACGTTGCAGGCAACCTGCCGAAAGGATTTTAATCACTGAGCTGACACTGTATTTTTTTCTTGTATGTGACTTTTTTAAGAAGCAGCTGGAAGTCTTTATGACCTAAGATGACTATAAAAATTATGAGAAGGCCGGGCGCAGTGGCTCACACCTGTAATCCTAGCACTTTGGGAGGCCAAGGTGGGCGGATCACTTAAGGTCAGGAGTTCGAGACCAGCCTGGCCAACATGGCGAAACCCTGTCTCTACTAAAAATACAAAAATTAGCTGGGCGTGGTAGCACATGCTTGTAATCCCAGCTGCTCGGGAGGCTGAGGCAGGAGAATCACTTGAACCTGGGAGGCAGAGGTTGCAGTGAACCATGACTGCACCATAGCACTCCAGGCTGGGCAACAGAGCAAGACTGTCTCAAAAAAAAAAAAAGTTATGAGACTTGCTTTACATGTCACCCAAGGGCACAGGTAAAGAATTAGACCTAGGAGTTGGGTTGATAGGGCAATGGGAAAAAAGAAAAAAATTGTTTACTGAATCAAGGGAATAATCACACCTACATCTTTGCAACTCACGTGCTTACAACTAGGGCAACCAAATTGTTCCGGTTCGCCCAGGATTTTCTCTGGTTTAGCCCTGAAATTTCTGTGTCCTGGGAAATTCCTCATTTCTATTTTAAAACCGAAAGTCCCACATCCTAAGACACACACACACGCCCCTGCACACACCAATCCTGGTAAAACGGTAACAGTTGGTCATACTATCTACAACAACCCTATTCGAGATCTGTGTCTTCACGATGAGGAAAGGCACATGCAGTTCTGGAGATTTTAACACGTGTTCCCAAGGTCACACAACCTGCCCTTGTATCCAGCACTGAAAGCAGATGACTCTCCTCTTTCCACGATTCTAAGCCTCTTCCCGTAGCATGTCCCATGTGGAGGAGAAAAGTTAAGAAAATGAAACTGGCCAAAACTTGCTACTGCATTTGTGATTTTAGAAAGTAAATGATCAGACATTATTAAAATTATCAATGCAAAAAGAAAGTGAGACTGAACAGATTGTTTACCTTAACAAGATCAAGTTAAACTCGTATAGGGCTTATATATAATGCCGCTTAAAAGCTCAAGTTTATGCGGGGCAGTTTTGGTGGAAGAAGCTCAGGCAGTCCCTCTGGTGGTCGTTATAGATCTGGCCGTGGAACTGGTGGATATGAAAACAGAAGGTTCTAAAAACAGCAGAAAAGGGCAACAGTTCTTAGCAGGAGAGACAGTGAGGAAAGCTGCAGGTTACTTGGAGACAGTCATCCCAAATGCATTAGAGGAGGTGTAAAAATCTGCCACAGAAGGAACAATGATCCATAGTCAGAAAAGTTACTGCAGCTTAAGCAGGAAACCCTTCTTGTTCAGGACTGTCATAGCCACAGTTTGCAAAAAGTGCAGCTATTGATTAATGTGATGTAGTGTCAATTAGAGGTACATCCCTGAGGTCTTTAAAACAAAACAAACTCAGCCAGGCACGGTGGCTCACACCTGTAATCCCAGTGCTTTGGGAAGCTGAGGCAGGCAGATCACCTGAGGCTGGGAGATTGAGACCAGCCTGGCTAACATGGTGAAACCCCGTCTCTACGAAAAATACAAAAATTAGCCCGGCATGGTGGTGGGCGCCTGTAATCCCAGCTACTCAGGAGGCTAAGGCAGGAGAATTGCTTGAACCCAGGAGGTGGAGGTTTCAGTGAGCCAAGATCGTGCCACTGCACTCCAGCCTGGGTGACAAGAGTGAAACTCCGTCTCAAAAAATAAATTAAATAAATAAATAATTAGCTGGACGTGGTGGCAGGCACCTGTAATCCCAGCTACTTGGGAGGCTGAGGCAGGAGAATCACTTGAGCCTGGGAGGTGGAGGTTGCAGTGACCAGAGATCGTGCCACTGAACGCCAGCCTGGGCAACAGAGCAAGATTCTGTCTCAAAAACAAAAACAAAAACAAAAAAAGGCTCAAGTTTATGAATGAACTGTTCATATCAGGTGATGGTCTTTCAAAATAATGACTGTTTTGTACCAACTATTGTGCTCATGTGATTGATTGAACAATGCTTCCAAAGAATTTGAAACAATAAGGCAAAGAAACCTAATGTTCATAACAGAAAAAAAAATTAAATGTATAGCACTAGAAAAATTGATTTTTTTTTTTTTGAGACAGGGTCTCACTCTGTCACCCAGGCTGGAGTGCAGTGGTGCAATGATGGCTCACTGCAGCCTCCACCTCCTGGGCTCCAGCGATCCTCCTGCCTCAGCCTCTAGAGTAGCCCGGACTACAAGCATGCACCACCATGCTCAGCTAATTTTTGTATTTTTAGTATAGACAGGGTTTTACCATTTTCCCCAGGCTGGTCTCGAACTCCTATGCTCAAGCAATCAACTTGCCTCAGCCTCCCAAAGTGCTGGGATTACAGGCATGAACCACAGAGCCTGGCATGATACTAGAAAAATTCTTTTTTTTTTTTTGACATTTAAGTTCAGGGGTACATGGGCAGGATGTGCAGGTTTGTTACACGGGTAAACGTGTGTCATGGGGGTTTGTTGTACAGATTATTTTTTTTCTAGTGTATTTACTACTTCCTGATTATCAGATTATTTTATCACCCAGTTATTAAGCCTAGTACCCACTAGTTATTTTTCCTGATCCTCTCTCTGCTACCACCCTCCACCCTCTGACAGGCCCCAGCATGTGTGAAAAATTCTTATAGTCTTCTAGAAAATACAATAGGTAGCCTTTGGAACATAGGGTATCATAAAGAGAAGCTGTAGAAAATATATTTCTTTGAATTTTTTTTTTTTTTTTTTTTTACAAATGATCACTATAATGTTTAAAATATGTTTACCACCTACAGTTGTGTGCTAGGGAAGCCATAACAAAATGCCCCCCACTGGGGGGCTTATGGGACAGAAATGGATTTTCTCACCGTTCTGCAGGCTGGAAATCCAAGATGGAGGTGCCAGTAGGGTCAGTTTCTCCCGGGGTCTCTCTGCTTTGTATGCAGATGGCCGCCTTCTTGCTGTGTCTCCACGTGGTCTTTCCTCTGGATGTACATATCCTGGTGTCCTTTTCTTTTTTTTTTTTTTGAGTTGGAGTCTTACTCTGTTGCCCAGCTGGAGTGCAATGACACGATCTCAGCTCACTGCAGCCTCTGCCTCCTGGATTCAAGCGATTCCCCTGCCTCAGCCTATCGAGTAGCTGGGATTACAGGCGTGCACCACCGCGCCCAGCTAATTTTTGTATTTTTAGTAGACATGGGGTTTGGCCATGTTGGCCAGGCTGGTCTTGAACTCCTGACCTCAGGCGATCCGCCCACCTGGGCTTCCCAAAGTGCTGAAATTACAGGCGTGAGCCACCACACGTAGCCCCTAGTGTCTTTTTTATGTCCAAATTTCCTTTTTTCACAACGGCCTCTTGTCTCTAAATACAGTCACATTCTGAGTTACTGGGAGTTAGGATTCAGCACACGAATTTTGAGGAGATGTAATTCAGCCCATAATTAAGCCCTATCCTCATCAGACTGATGATCTGTGCTTTCTCTGAACTAACAGGATTTATATATTCCTTTTTAACAGCAAGGAACTCAGGTTCTCCATGGCCCCTTTATGAAGTTGCTCCTGCTGGTACATGACCCTCAGTTAGTTTCCTGAAGTTATTTACAAAGCCACCTCCACATGTGTTGAGCCTCTTCAGTTTACTTCAAATCCTGGGCCTGTGCTGCATGGCGGTGCTTTCCACAGATTCATATGTTAGATCTTTTCTATTTTTTTTTCTGAGACAGAGTTTCCCTCTGTCGCCCAGGCTGGAGTGCAATGGTGTGATCTCGGCTCACTGCAACCTCTGCCTCCTGGGTTCAAGCAATTCTCCTGCCTCAGCCTCCTGAGTAGCAGGGACTACAGGCGTGTGCCACTATTCCCAGCTAATTTTTGTATTTTTAGTAGAGGCAGGGTTTCACCATATTGGCCAGGATGGTCTCGATCTCTTGACCCCATGATCCTCCCACTTTGACCTCCCAAAGTGTTGGGATTACAGGTGTGAGCTACCGCGCCTGGCCACATATTAAATCTTTTTTTTTTTTTTTTTTTTTGAGACAGAGTCTTGCTCTGTCACCCAGGCTGGAGTGCAATGATGGATCTCGGCTCACTGCAAGCTCCGCCTCCCAGGTTCATGCCATTTTCCTGCCTCAGCCTCCCGAGTAGCTGAGACTACAGGCACCCGCCACCACACCTGGCTAATTTTTTGTATTTATAGTAGAGATATGTTAGCCAGGATGGTCTCGATCTCCTGACCTCATGATCCACCCACCTCGGCCTCCCAAAGTGCTGGGATTACAGGCGTGAGCCACCGCGCCCGGCCTCATGTTAAATCTTGACACCCAATGTGATCTGAGAGGTTGGGCCTTTGGTGATGGCAGCAGCCACTCCAGACGGCTTGCTGCTGCCATGACGCCACCTGCCCCAGGGAGGCCCAGCCCGGGCTATACACGCTATGGAGCCGCAGGGAGCCCTGCCCCTTCCGAGTTGGGGCGGGAGCTCCCAGGGTGATGCTACAGCTGTCCAAACCCCAGCTGTGGATCCGAGCCTCCCTCAGATCGTATCACATATCAAGACTTACTCTTGTTGACAAAAAGAGTCAAACTCTATAAAATATTTGAAGAGATTTATTCTGAGCCAAATATGATAATGACCATGGCCCCTGACACAGCCCTAAGGAGGTCCTGAGACCATGTACCCAAGGTGGTCGGGGGGCAGCTTGGTTTTATACATTTTAGGGAGGCGTGAGGCATCAATCAAACACATTTGAGAAATACATTGGTTTGGTCCAGAAAGGCTGGACAATTTGAAGGAGGCAGGGCCTTCCAGGCTTTAGGTAAATTAAAACATTTTCTGGTTGACAATTGGTTGAGTTTGTCTAAAGACCTGGGATTAATAGAGAGGAAATATTCAGGTTAAGATAAAAGATTGTGGAGACCAAGGTTCTTTTGAAGTCTTATAGTGGCTGCCCTTAGAGACAATAGATGACAAATGTTTCCTACTCAGACCTTCAAAAGTTGCTAGATTCTCAGTTAACCTCCTCAGGATTGGGAGGTCCTGGAGGAAAAAGATCTAGCAATGTTAACAGAGATCCTTTACATATGCAAATATTCCCCCCCACCAAGGACAGCTTTGCAGGGCCATTTAAAAATATGGCAAAGAAACATGTTTTGGGGTAAAATATTTTTATTTTCTTCTTTGTTAGGTAATGTTATGCCAGAGTCAGATTGGAAAGTAAGTCACGATATATAGGGCTAAATAAAACCCATCTGATGAGAATTTATGGTTTGTAGGGCATGAGACCCCAGACCCCTTAGATAAGAATCTGGGCAAGATAAAAAAAAAAAATCAGAGCTGAGTCCTCACTATGGTAATTCAGTGAGTGTGACTACCAGCATAGATGTCCATAAAGGATATCCATTAGGGCCACCCATTTTAATAATGTTTGCCAGGACCCTTCAATCAAAACAAAATCCATTCTCAGAATAGCTTAGAATCAAAGGAGGACTTTTTGGGTTTTTTTGGTTCAAGAAGGATTGGGCAAGAAAACTGCAGGGAGTGAAGGAATGCTGAGCTTTGGAAGCAATTAGAACCAAGAAAACAAAAGCTGAAAGCACTGTTACTCACTCCCGCTTCCCGGATGCTCCCTGAGTCATCTTTGTGTTTCTCCATAAAGACTGGCTTCCTCCACATGGCGAGACAGATGGCCACCAAGAACTCCCAAGCTTAAAAAAGAATGACTCTCTGTGGCAAGAAAACAAAGAGACACTCCTCCCCACCTTGCTACTCCCTATGTGGCCTCCACACTGCAACCTGGGACTGTGTAGTGAGGGGAGGGGGAGCGAAGAAGTTTGCGTTAGTCTGTTTTCACACTGCTGATAAAGACATACCTGAGACTGAGTAATTTATTTTTATTTTTATTTTTATTTATTTATTTTTTTGAGACGCACTCTGTCACCCAGGCTGGAGTGCAGTGGCACGATCTCCGCTCACTGCAAGCTCCGCCTCCCGGGGTCACACCATTCTCCTGCCTCAGCCTCCTGAGTAGCTGGGACTACAGGCGCCCGCCACCGCGCCCGGCTAATTTTTTGTATTTTTAGTAGAGACGGGGTTTCACTGTGTTATCCAGGATGGTCTCGATCTCCTGACCTCATGATCCACCCGCCTCGGCCTCCCAGAGTGCTGGGATTACAGGCGTGAGCCACTGCGCCCAGTCAGTTTACTTTTTAAAAAAGAGGTATAACGGACTTACAGTTCCACATGGCTGGGGAGGCCTCACAATCATGGCAGAAGGTGAAAGGCACATCTTACATGGTGGCAGACGACAGAGAAATGAGAGAGCCAAGCAAAAGGGGAAACCCGTTATAAAAACCTCAGCTCTCCTGAGACTTGTTCACTACCATGAGAACGGCATGGGGGAATGTGTGGGTGGAGGATTAGCCAGGTGCTGAGGCAAGAGACTGAAGGCACAAACTGTTGCAGTATAATAAAGAAAATAGAATAAGAATAGTCATAATACAAATTAGATGTAGAGATGATCATGGACAATTATCAATCATTATTATAAACATTATTAATCATTAGCTTTTAATATTACTCTTTGCTGCATTACTAATATAACCTAGGAATAACCGGCGGGTATAGGGTCAGGTGCTGAAGGGACATGGTGAGAAGTGACCTAGAAGGCAAGAGGTGAGCCCTCTGTCACGCGTGCATCAGGGCCGCTTGAGGGGTCCTTGGTCAAGCGGTAACGCCAGTGTCTGGGAAGGCACCCGTTACTTAGCAGACGGTGAAAGGGAGTCTCCTTTCCTTGGAGGAGTCAGGGAACACTCTGCTCCACCAGCTTCTTGTGGAAGGCTGGATATTATCCAGGCCTGCCCGCAGTCATCCGGAGGCCTAAACCCCTCCCTGTGGTGCTGTGCTTCAGTGCTCACACTCCTTGTCCACTTTCATGCTCCTCCCGTACTCCTGGCTCCTCTTTGAAGTTCATAGTAGATAGCGGTAGAAGAAATAGTGAAAGTCTTAAAGTCTTTGATCTTTCTTATAAGTGCATGGAAGAAAACGCTGACGTATGCTGCCTTCTCCCTCTCTCTCTGCTTCGGCTACCTAAGAGGGAAGGGCCCCCTCTCCTGTGATCACACGACTTGCTTCACCTTGTCAATCACTTCGAAGATTCACCCTGCTTACCCTGCCCCCTTATCTTGTATGCAATAAGTATCAGCGCGCCCAGCCGTTATGGGCCACTACCGGTCTCCGCGTCTTGATGGTTGTGGTCCTCCGGGCCCAGCTGTTTTCTCTTTATCTCTTTGTCTTGTGTCTTTATTTCTTACAATCTCTTATCTCTGCACACGGGGAGAACACCTGCAAAGCCCCATAGGACCCTGCAGGAATCCACCCCCATGATTGAATTATCTCCCACTGGGTCCATCCCACAACACATGGGAATTATGGGAGCTACAACTGAAGATGAGATTTGGGTGGGGACACAGACACAAGCCATATATCAAGGTTGTTCCTTCAGATGCAGCAATCCTGGGAGCTTCTGGTTAGGACAAGATACAAGCAGAGACAGCTTCATGGGTATTGTAAACTCAATGTTTGTGTCCCGACAAAATTCAGCTGTTGGAACCTAACCCCAAGGTGATGGTATTTGTAATACGGGAGCTAAAAAGAAATTATTGAGGCAGACAGTGAGGGTAAGAGAGTCCTCAGTAAGGTTTCCTATTAATAAAGAGCAGCCCCCAAATAATTTCTTTTCTAACAGAAAGCAGCCTGAAACATCAAGCTGCAAGCATAGATAAACAAGCTAAAATCTTGCATCAGCTGTGCCAATAGAAAACGGATGCCTGGGAGCCGGGTATATTCAACATGGAGGTTCCCTCTTCCCTTTTCTTTGTCCCCACATGTGCAGTAAAAAAGCAGACAACATGGCCCCGGCCAGGCAGAGACCCTACCTACGTAATAAAAGATTAGGGTGGGATGGCCAGCTTCTTTGGGGGCTATGCAAACGTCATACCTGGTCCGACTAATCTCTCAGGCCCTATGTAAATCAGACAGCACCTCCTCAAGCTTGTCTATAAAAGCCCCATGCATTTCACCACAAAACCAGGGGTCCCACTCGGGAACCCCTCTCTTCTCTGTGCAAAAGAGAGAACTATTCTCTTTTCTCTTTCTTTTGCTTATTAAGCCTTCACTCTTTTTTTTTTTTTTTTTTTTGAGATGGAGTCTGGCTCTGTCATTCAGGCTGGAGTGCAGTGGCACGATTTCGGCTCACTTCAACCTCCGCCTCCCAGGTGCAAGCAATTCTCCTGCCTCAGCCTCCCAAGTAGCTGGGATGACAGGCACCCACCACTGCGCCCAGCTAATTTTTATATTTTTAGTAGAGATGGGGTTTCACCGTGTTGGTCAGGCTGGTTTCGAACTCCTGATCTCAGGTGATCCGCCCCCCACTCGGTCTCCCAAAGTCCTGAGATTACAGGCGTGAGCCACTGCGCCCGGCCCAGTCTCTTTCACTATGTAAGGACACAGCAAGAAGGTGCCAGCTATGAACCAGGAAAAAAGCCCTCAGCAGACACTGAATCTACCAGTGCTTTGGTCTTGGACTTCCAGCCTCCAGAACCATGAGAAATAACTATGTGTTGTCTGTAAGCTGCCAGGTCTTTGGTATGTTGATAGCAGCCTGGATGGACTAAGACACTCTCTCCTTCCCTCTCATGCCCTGGACCCTCATCAGGGCCAGAAGTGGTTGGGGTGATGGCCCAAGCAGACTTTAAAAAGCACTGGCCTAGCACAAGGGTTGGCACGCTAGAGCCCACAGCTTGTTTTTGCAAATAAAATTTTTTGTTTTTAAAACAACTTTCTGGGCTGGGCACGGTGGCTCACGCCTGTAATCCCAGCACTATGGGAAGCCGAGGCAGGCGGATGACTTGAGGTCAGGAGCTCAAGACCAGCCTGGCCAACATGGTGAAACCCCATCTCTACTAAAAATACAAAAAAATTAGCCTGGTGTGATGGCAGAAGCTTGTAATCCCAGCTACTCAGGAGGCTGAGACAGGAGAATCATTTGAACCTGCGGGGAGAGGTTGCAGCGAGCTGAGATCACGCCACTGCACTCTGGCGCCTGGGCGACAGAGCAAGACTCCATCAAAAAAAAAAAAACTTTCTATAGATACATAATATTTATGCATATTTATGACATACATGTGATAGTTTGATACATGCACAGAATGTATAATACTCAAATTAGGGTATTTAGGATATTCACCACCTCAAACATTTATCTTTTTTTTTATCTTTTCGAGACAGAGTCTCTCTCTGTCGCCCAGGCTGGAGTACAGTGGTGTGATCTTGGCTCACTGCAACCTCTGCCTCCCGAGTTCAAGCAATTCTTCTGCCTCAGCCTCCCAAGTGGCTGGGATTACAGGTGTGCGCCACCACACCCAGCTAATTTTTGTATTTTTAGTGGAGATGGGGTTTCACCTTGTTGGCCAGGCTGGTCTTGAACTCCTGACCTCAGGTGATCCACCCATCTTGGCCTCTCAAAGTGTTGGGATTACAGGAGTGAGCCACTGCACCTGGCTCATTTATCGTTTGTGTTGGGAATGTTTCAAATCTTCTCTTCTAGCTATTTTGAAATATACAATATATTGCTGTTAACTATAGTCACCCTTCTGTGCTATTGAACACTTGAACTTATTCCTTCTATCCAACTGTGTTTGTGCCCATTAACTATCCCACCCCTTCTAGCCTTTGATAACTGACTCTCTCTTTACCTTCATGAGATCTACTTTTTTAGCTCCTACATGAGTGAGAACATGAAGTTGTAAATAAAGTTTTATTCTAACACCGCCACACCTACTTGTTTACATATCAGCGATGGCTGCTTTCATGGTACAACAGCAGAGTGGGGTAGTCTCAGCAGAGATCCTACAGCCCACAAAGCTGGACGTGTTACTCTCTGGTCCTTTTGTTTTCTGCCCTCTGGTCTAGGAGTTTGCAGCTCTGGGCGTTTTTTGTTTTTTTTTTTTTTTTTTTTTGAGATGGAGTCTCACTCCATTGCCCAGGCTGGAATTCAATGGCGCCATCTCAGCTCACTGCAATCTCTGCCTCCTGGGTTCAAGCGATTCTTCTGCCTCAGTCTCCCAAGTAGCGGGGATTACAGGCGCCTGCCACCACGTCCAACTAATTTTTTATTTTTAGTAGAGATGGGATTTCACCATGTTGGTCAGGCTGGTCTTGAACTCTGACCTCAGATGATCCACCCACCTCGGCCTCCCAAAGTGCTGGGATGACAGGCGTGAGCCCGGCCGTTTTCTTTTTTGCTTGTTGTGCTTCCTGGAGATGCTCAGTAATTCTTACATTCTTTCCTGGATAGCTGGTCAATCATTATTTATTATTTCCTTGAATTGTTCTAGGAGGAAATGTGGGGTAGAAAGAGTATGGTGGGGTTCTTGGGCATGAATAATCCATAAATAAGTCAGATTTCTTTTTAAGACGAGAAACTTAATTTTATTGATATGGACGAAGAGCAAGGAAACACAGTATCTGCATCTCCAGATTTCCGATAACCTTGGCCAGCACGATCCCCCCTCCTTTAGTGGCCAGGGCTGTCTTCTTGCTACACTTTCAGTGCCGCATATTCATGAGATCCTGGGGGCTCCTGGGTGGTGTCTGAAGCTGCCTCAGACAGGGCGCTGGTGCTTAGCTCAGCATAGGTCACTCCTTGGGGGTCTGCCGTCTTTGGAGAAAATAGATGAATATTAGAACTGAGTGTTCAATATGGCAGCCACTAGCCACACATGGCTATTGACATTTAAGTTAATTACAATTAAATTTAATTTAAAACCCAGGTCCTCGGTCACACCAGATGCATTTCTTTTTCTTTTCTGTTTTTATAACCCTTTATGCCTGTGACATCAATGGATCTGCGTAAGCCTTTTTTCATTTTTTTTAAATTTTTATTTATTTATTTATTTTGGGACAGAGTCTGGCTCTGTCGCCCAGGCTGGAGTGCGGTGGCGTGATCTCGGCTCACTGCAACCTCCGCCTCCCGGGTTCAAGCCATTCTCCTGGCTCAGCCTCCTGAGTAGCTGGGATTACAGGCGCCCACTACCACGCCCAGCTAATTTTTTGTATCTTTAGTAGAGATGGGGTTTCACCATGTTAACCAGGATGGTCTCGATCTCCTGACCTCATGATCCGCCCGCCTCGGCCTCCCAAAGTGCTGGGATTACAGGCGTGAGCCACCGCGCCCGGCCCATGCATAAGCCTTTTAAATGGAGATTTTGGTTCCCATTAGGGGAGTTTCGTGACTTGTCTAAGACCACATGCGTGATAAACAGTATACATTTCTGTATGGGCTTAACCAGGAGGCACACACGACCAGCCCATTGTGGTGAGGGAGCTCTTGTGGGACTCCTAAGCGGGAGGACTCACCGAGAGAGATACCCTTTCCATATTGGATAAATCTGCCTCTGAGTGAGAAAGGAAAAAAAAAAATCAGTTCTCAGCTGCAGAAGTCAGAACTTAGTCTTTCTATCCGGTGATTCCCTTAAACTTCCCCTGTCCCTTACCGGCAGCCTCCTGCTCCGGAAGTTTGGAATGGCTGGTTCTGAAAGAGAGAGACACACGTGAAAGGATGGGATGTGAAGATTTCGGGGAGAGGGTGAGGGCAATGGAGGGGAGAGGAAGGGAGAAGAAGGGAGAGGAGGAAGGTCACAGAATGGGCTGGGGTGGGGGCTCAGGGTGCCAATCCCGGATGTGCCAATGGGTTCCCTTGAGAATGACATGGGAATAAGTGGAGCATGAGCTATGCCAAGCATCTACCTCTTGGTGGATTCCTCAGATGATGAACCTACAAAAAATGCAGGAGGAATTTACCTACCGAGAAAATCCTTCACTCCCCCTCTCTCCCTTTGCGTTCTCTGAGCTCACTGTGCTGGCTGCATCTGTAGATGATGAAGACTGAGAGGAAGAGGAGAAGGATGGAGATGCAGCTGAAGATGGCGACAAAGATGGTTCTGGTGTCTGGAGGGGGAAGAGCAGGTCAGGGAATCAGCCTGGCTCCTGAAATCCACTGATAGGGGCGAGCCGAAAAGCTAAGAGAAGCCAGACAGATGGCCTGGCTTCCAAGCCTGGATCTCCCACCTCGGAGCTGGAACTTCCTATTGCTTTGGGGAATTTCCTTAATCTTCTCCAAGCTTCTGTTTCCCCATCTGTAAAGTGAGGATAGCAGCAGTAGCTACTTTATTGGATGGTGGGTCAGTACCTATAGAAAGGGCTGGAACAGTGCTTGGCGCATAGGAAATTCCAAAAATTCCCAGGGAATGTTTGGTGCATAGCAATGATATTGATCATTTATTGTGAGCCAGCTCTGTTCCAGGTGCTCCATATATATATATACGTGTGTGTGTGTGTATATATATATATAAATGTATATATATGTGTGTGTATATATAAATGTGTATATATATATATATATATATATATATATATACATATATATATATATATACACACTTTTTTTTTTTTGAGATGGAGTCGTGTTCTGTCACCCAGGCTGGAGTGTGATCCTGGCTCACTGCAACCTCCACCTCCCTGGTTCAAACAATTCTCCTGACTCAGCCTCCTGAGTAGTTGGGATTACAGGCGTGAGCCACCACATCTGTCTGTGTAATCACTGTCTGAAATCCACTGATGGGGTGAGTAGAAAAGCTAAGAGAAGCCAGACAGATGGCCTGGCTTCCAAGCCTGGATCTCCCACCTTGGAGCTGGAACTTCCTTGGAGCTGGACATTTCGACCAATAGACTTTGAGTAAAGCAGATGACCCACTGTCATAGGGGTGGGCCTCATCCAATCAGTTGAAGACTTTAAGACTTTAAGAGAAAAGACTGAGGTCCCCCAAGGTGGAAGGAATTCTGCCTCCAGACTCAAGCTGCAATATCAAGTCTCCCCTGGATCCCCTGCCTGCCTGCCCTGCAGATTTCAGACTTGCCAGCTCCCCACAATCACGTGAACCAATCCATTAAAATCAATCTCTCTCTCCATATATGTATATACATGTATATGTTCTCTTTTTTTTTTTTGAGACAAAGTCTCACTCTTATCGTCCAGGCTGGAGTGCAATAGTGCAATCTTGGCTCACTGCAAGCTCCGCCTCCCGGGTTCAAGCAATTCTCCTGCCTTAGCCTCCTGAGTAGCTGGGATTACAGGTGCCCACCATCACGCCCGGCTAATTTTTGTATTTTTAGTAGAGACGGGGTTTCGCCATGTTGGCCACGCTGGTCTTGAACTACTGACCTCAGGCAATCTGCCTGCCTCGGCCTCCCAAAGTGCTGGGATTACAGGCGTGAGCCACCACACCCAGCTTATATCTATATGTTCTATTGGTTCTGTTTTTCTGGAAAACCCTGGCTAACACAGACATGATCTCAGCTCTTAACTTCAAACATATTTCCTTTTTCTTTTTTTAAAGGAGAGAGAGAGATGTGAAAGGACGGGATGTGAAGATTATGGGGAGAGGGTGAGGGCAATGGAGGGGAGAGGAGGGGAGAGGAGGGAGGTCACAGATGGGAGCTCAGGATGCCAATCCCAGATGTGCCAATGGGTTCCCATTGTTGCCCAGGCTAGAGTGCAGTGGTGTGATCATACTCGAATTCCTGGGCTCAAGTGGTCCTCCTCACTCGGCCTCCAGGGTAGCTGGGAGTACAGACCACCACGCCCAGCCAACTTCAAACACACTTCAATGAGCTCGTTGATGCCAGGTAATGAACAGCAGTGACACGGGCATGGAAGGCGTTTAGAGTGGGGAGGGGTGGGGCTCTCTGAAGGAGACATGATTCCCCAAGACACAGAACAAGGGATCAGCTGGGAGAATTCAGGGAGGATTCCTAATAAGAACAGGGTTAGAGCAGGGTAGAAAAGAATGACCAGTGGCCGGGCACGGTGGCTCACGCCTGTAATCCTGGCACTTTGGGAGAGTGAAGTAGGTGGATCACTTGAGGTCTGGAGTTCGAGACCAGCCTGGCCAACATGGTGAAACCCTGTCTCTACTGAAAATATAAAAAATAAGCTGGGCATGGTGGCGCACGCCTGTAGTCCCAGCTACTCAGGAGGCTGAGAGAAGAGAATTGCTTGAACCTGGGAGGCGGAGGTTGCAGTGAGCCGAGATCGCATCACTGCATCATACACTCAACTGACCAAGACTCCAACTCAAAAAAGCATCCCTCTCAGGAGATAAAATTTCTACCAATTAAAAAACAAAAACAAAACAAAACAAAAAAAACTAGTTCTTGAGCAATATTGCCATGCAAGTCTACATCATAGCGTTTTAAAGTCTTAACAACAACCCTGCAAGGTAGTACAATTATTTCCCTCCCACTGGTGAAGGGCATGCATTCCCGTGTGACTCCTGGGATTACAGCAAGGGTTGTGTCCAAAGCTCACAGCGTTGAGGAAGAGAGAGCAACCTGTTACTAAAGCTAGGCGACAGAGTCCATGCAGTTCCCCCCCGTTTTTTGTTTTTCTTGGCACTTTAGATTCAAGAAACACAAGTCGTGAGACTTTAAGGAGTAAGTAGCAGAAACGTGATTAAGGAAAAAAGTTGAGCAACTATAGAAGTGAGGCCCCAGAAAGGGGCTTCACCAAGACCCCCGCTATCTTTGTTAGTGTGCTTTGAGTCTGAGAATTTTTCCTAGGTGTGCAATGATCTGTGGTCACATTACAGAGCCAAGTCTGAGATGCTTCACACGCCTGGTCCTCTGCACCAACAGAGGGTCTCCCATCCAGACGCTTCCCCTACTTGGTTCGCTATGTTTGCATTGGCATTTCTACATATCTATATATAGAGAATTACCTATCTAATTTATCTATCTCGCTAATCTATCTACCATCTGTCTAGGTATCTATTATCTATCTACCTATCTATCTTTATCTGTCTCTGTACCTACTTACCTATCATCTATCCAATCTATCCGTCCTATCTAATTATGATTTATCTATCTACCTACTTGCCTATCACCTATCCAATCTATCTATCCTATCATATGTAATTAACTATCTGTCTGTCTAATTTTTCTATCTTGTTAATCTATCACTTATCTAGGCATCTATGTATCTATCTTTATCTGTCTATCCACCTGCTTACCTGCTGTCTGTCTAATCTATCCATCCTATCATATCTAATTATCACTTATCTATCTACCGACTTACCTATCATCTAGTTACCAAATCTATCATCTATCTAATGTATCTATCAATCATAACCAGTTATCTATCATCTATCATCTATCATCTGTATGTATCTGTCTATTCACCTACTATTATCTATTTAATCTATTCTATCTAGTTATCTATCTATCTATCCACCTACTTATCTAATTTTTCTATCTTGCAACTCTATCACCTATCTAGGTATCTATGTATCTATCTGTGTATCTGTATATCTATCTATCTATCTAGCTAGCTTTATCTAGCTACCTAGTTACCTATCATCTATCTATCTAATCTATCATCTATCTAATGTATCTATCAATCATATCTAATTATCTGTCTATCTAATCATCTATCTTATCTATTATATCTAGTTATCTATCATCTAGCTAGCTAGCTAATCTATCTGTATCTATCTACCTACTTACCTATCGTCTATTTATCTATCTAATCTATCATATCTAGTTATCTATCTACTTACTTATCTAACCTGTTGTATCTAGTTATCTATCTACCTACTTACCTATCATCTGTCTATCTATCTAATCTGTCCATCGTATCTAGCTACTTATCTACCTATCATCTATGTATCTATCTAATCTATCATATCTAGTTATCTATTTATCTGCCTACTTGCCTATTATCTATCACATCTAATTATCTATCTATCCCCCTCCCTGAAATAAGGTTCTTTCTGAGCTGATCATCAGGGAGCAGCAAAAGGAGTGGGGAGTTTGAAACAAGACATATTTGAGTTCTAGTACTGGGTCTCCTACCTCCTGACTTTGTAAATGTTCCCTTCCCTTTCTGGAATACGTTATTTTTTGGTTAAATATAAGGAGGGGGCAGAGAGCTAATAATATCTAACTTGAAGAGTTAGGTAATGATGAAAAATCCTGGCTTTAAAGCGCTCAGTCTAGAAACTGACTCATTGTGTCGGATAATGGGATTGTAGGTATAATGATGATTTTTTTTCACCCAATATTCCACCTACACCCATCTCTCTCTGTAATAGATTCTGTCAATGTTCCTCAACCCATGTTCCCCAGATCCCTTTCCCATTTTTATGCATTCTAGATCGTGGCTTCTTTCCCTTTCCAAAGTGAACATTTGTATCTCTTCTTTGGGGGACTGCCTGGGAGAACTCCAAATGCCTTGGAATTTACATGCCCGGGACAAACTGCCACTGACGGCTGTGGGGACCCCAGCTCCCTAGCCTCTGGTCTTCGACCTTCTCTGTCTCCACTGCTTTCTGCAGGATGGAGCCAAAGATACCATCTGAGGGACACAGATATCCCACACTTGTTTAATCTATTTTCCTCCCAGCCCTTCTTCCCCACTCCCTAAAATGTAATTTTCAAGCCAGGCGTGGTGGCTCACACCTGTAATCCCAGCACTTTGGGAGGTCGAGGCAGGCAGAGCACCTGAGGTCAGGAGTTCGAGACCAGCCTGACCAACATGGAGAAACCCCGTCTCTACTAAAAATAGAATATTAGCTGGGTGTGGTGGTGCATGCCTGTAATCCCAGCTATTTGGGAGGCTGAGGCAGGAGAATCTCTTGAACCTGGTAGGCGGAGGTTGCAGTGAGCCAAGATCACGCCATTGCACTCCAGCCTGGGCAACAAGAGCGAAACTCTGTCTCAAAACTAAATAAATAATAAATAAAATAAAACGTCACTTTCACACTAATGCTGTCTAAGAGCCTGCTTCTGGTGGAGCTGAATCAGAGAACCCCTCAAAAGCAACAATTTTTTTTTTTTTGAGACAGTCTCACTCTGTCTCCCAGGCTGGAGTGCAGTGGTACAATCTCGGCTTTGGAACCTCCCCCTCTGGGGTTCAAGCAATTCTCCTGCCTCAGCCTCCCAAGGAGCTGGGATTACAAGCACCCGCCACCTCACCCCGCTAATTTTTTATATTTCTAGTAGAGATGAGGTTTCACCATGTTGGTTAGGCTGGTCTCAAACTCCAGAGCTCAAGTGTTCTGCCCACTTTGGCCTCCCAAAGTGCTGGGATTACATAAGCCACCATGCCTGGCCATAAGCAACAATTCTATCAGTGCATCTCCAAGGACTTATGAAAACAGGGCAGGAACAGCTGCTCCTGGACTCTCAGTTTCCCCAGATGGAAGCAGAGAAACAGCAGCCTTGCCTTGTCCTTTCTGTTCTCCCCTTTTCCAGCCTACGGTATCTTTCACACAGCAATTCACTAGAAATGAGAAGTACATTATTGCAAAATTCTCATCTTCATATGACCCCATAATCAGCTGAACTGGGTTCACCCTGAGATGTCCACAGATCCTGGCCAAATGTTGCATCAGTATTTGCAAATTGCCAGAATAAATCATAACTTGCTACGCTACTAAAGTCAGCGTGAGCAACAAGATACAGCCTGACACGGGGCATAAATGGAGGCACAGGCACCAGAAAGAAAGTCAAGTCTTGTGTGATAAAATTCATCTTCATTCTCTACATTGCGATTGAACATAGAGTCGTTTTCTAGTGTGTTTTAGGCATATAAATACAGGCTGGGGACATCATACCTGTGCTTACAGATATTTTACTTTTATTTTATTTATTTACTGAAACAGGGTCTCGCTCTGTCACCCAGGCTGGAGTGCTGTGGCGCAATCACAGTTCACTGAAGCCTCAACCTCCTGGGCGCAAACGATCTTTCTGCCTGAGCCTCCCAAGTAGCTGGGACTACAGGTGCACACCACCACGCCTGGCTAATTTTTGTATTTTTTGTAGAGATGGGATCTTACCAAGTTGTCCAGGCTGGTCTTGAACCCCTGGGCTCAAGTGATCCTCCTGCCTCATCTTCCCAAAGTCCTGGTATTACAGACGTGAGCCACTGCGCCCGGCAAAGATATTTTATTCTGTTTAGAATTGTGATGATACAAATTTGAACTCAAAAAGTACATTTTAAGAAATTATATAATACCCACTGGGATGGCTATAATTTAAAAAAAGAAAAGTAAGTGTTGACAAGGATGTGGAGATATTGGAACCCACATATATTACTGGAAGGAATATAACATGATACAGCCACAATGGAAAATGATTTGGCAGTTCCTCAAAAAGTTGAACATAATAGTCACCATATGTCCTAGCAAATCCACTTCTAGGTACATACTCAAGATAATTTACAGCGCGGAGACAAACAGATACTCCTACCACAGTGTTCCAGCACCATTACTCGCTTTAGCCAAGAGGTGCAGACAACACAAATGTCCATCAAAAGAAGAACGGGGCCAGGCACAGTAGCTCAAGTCTGTAATCCCAGCACTTTGGGAAGCTGAGGCGTGTGGATCACCTGAGGTCAGGAGTTCGAGACCAGCCTAGCCAACATGGTGAAACCCCCTCTCTACTAAAAATACACAAATTAGCTAGGCATGGTGACGGGCGCCTGTAGGTCCAGCTACTCAGGAGGTTAAGGCAAAAGAATCACTTAAACCTGGGAGGCGGAGGTTGCAGTGAGCTGAGATTGTGCCACTGCACTCCAGCCTGGGCGACAGAGCAAGACTCCGTCTCAAAAAAACAAAAACAAAAACAAAAAAAAGAATGGATAAGCAAAATGTGGTCTATCCATACAATACGATGCTTTTCACCATGACAAGAAATGAAACATTGATGCATGCTACAGTACAGACAAACTTTGAAAACATTATGCTAAAGAGAAAGGAGCTAGTCACAAAGGATCACATAGTGTATGAATCCACTTACACAAAATGTCCAGAATAGACAAAATCATAGACACAGAGAAGCATATGAATGGTTGGAAGGGCCTGGTGGGAAAGTGGGAAATGAGGAGTGACTGCTTAATGGGTACAAGATTTTCTTTTAGGGTGATGAGAATGTTCTGGAATTATGTAGTGGTGATGGTTATACTACCTCATGAAGATACAAAATGCCAGTGAATTGGACACTTTACAAGGGTGAATTTTTGGACTGTGAATTATATATCAATAAAAAAAGAAAGAAAATAAATGATACAAGAGCTCAAAATAGAAAAGCTTCTCTTCCTCCTCCCCCTCACACCTCACTAGATCTCCCACCTCGTTTCTGATACTTCTGTGTTCCTCTCTCCCATTAGATTTCATATCTTTCTCAGAAAACGTTCCTGACGTGAATTGTGTTCGTAGTGCTAGGGTAGCAGACATTTCCCAAGCCTACTATCATGGAATAAAAACGTTTCAAATAGTTATCTTGCAAGAACACTTTGGAGGATACCTTTTTGAAAACCGATTATACCAGCACAGACTGCTAGCAACAACCTTCAGCAACTTTGGCTCTTTGGAGTAGGTTGCAGGAAGATTATGACTTGCTGAAAGGAAGGATGATTAAGCATCTAGATGCCAATTTATATTCTGCATTTGGCCCTTAAAGTCTGGATGAGTTCCTGTTTCAGCCGAATGCTGCCAAAAGCTCTAACTTTTTAATTTTTTTTTTTTTTTTTTTTTTTTGGAGACAGAGTCTCACTCTGTTGCCCAGGCTGGAGGGCAGTGGTGTAATCTCGGCTCACTGCAACCTCTGCCTCCCAGGTTCAAGCAATTCTCCTGCCTCAGTCACTTGAGTAGCTGGGAATACAGGCGCCCACCACAATGCCCAGCAAATTTTTGTATTTTTAGTAGAGACAGGGTTTCACCATGTTGCCCAGGCTGGTTTCGAACTCCTGACCTCAGGTGATCCGCCCACCTCGGCCTCCCAAAGTGCTGGGATTACAGATGTGAGCCACCTCGCCTGGCCCAAAAGCTCTAATTTTTATGAGAAACTCTGAGGACAGAATCTTAGTCAATTGTTAATGAATAAGCAACATTAGAAAAAAAATTCAATATTCACCTATTTTTGAGAATTTTAGAGTTATAACAAACTCTTGATTATATATATTCCTGAAGTACCTACTCTGCGTAGGTCCTGGTCCTACTCCCCAAATGGGTCACTGAAAAATTCACCCCCATTATTCCCCAAATCCCACCCTAGTTTTTCATCATGTCATATGGCAAACAACGCACTCTGTGCTGTTTTACACACCAGCTTCTTCAGAACCCGGAAGCACTTTAGAGGTTATCTCCCCTCATCCTCCACCCCCCAAAACACAGCAGTTTCCCCAATAACATTGAGAAAATGGGCTTTAAAGTTCTTCTAGGCCGGGTGCGGTGGCTCATGCCTGTAATCCCAACACTTTGAGAGGCCGAGGCGGGGGAATTGCTTGAGGTCAGGAGTTTGATACCAGCCTGGCCAACATGGTGAAACCCCATCTCTACTAAAAACAAAAAACAAAAAACAAAACTGAGCTGGATATGGTGGTGGGTGCCTGTAATCCCAGCTATTCGGGAGGCCGAGGCAGGAGAATTGCTTGAACCCAGAACCCAGGAAGTGGAGGTTGCAGTGAGCTGAGATTGTGCCACTTCACGCCACCCTGGGGGACAGAACAAGACTCTTTCTCAAAAAAATAAATAGGCCGTGTGCGGTGGCTCACGCCTGTAATCCCAGCACTTTGGGAGGCTGAGGCGGGCAGATCACAAGGTCAGGAGTTCGAGACCAGCCTGGCCAACATGGTGAAACCCCGTCTCTACTAAAAATACAAAAATTAGCTGGGTGTGGTGGTGCGTGCCTGTAGTCCCAGCTATTCGGGAGGCTGAGGCAGGAAAATTGCTTGAATCCGGGAGGCGAAGGTTGCAGTGAGCTGAGATTGCGCCACTGTACTCCAGCCTTGGTGACAAAGCGAGACTCTATCTCAAAAAACAAACAAACAAACAAACAAACAAATAAATAAAGTTCTCCTTGTGCACTTTAAGCAAAGGTGATCATGAAGCAGATCTCATTGGGAAAAACATCTCCTTTCTAATTATCTTACCTGTTTTCATTGAGGGAGCTTCAAGTTCATCGTGTTTATCTAGAAAATAGGAGGGAAGAAAAGGAATTACACTAATCATACAGGAACCTTGGGGACAGGAGTCCTCACGTCCTACTTATAGACATCCTGTTCTTCTTTGGGAAGCAGAAAAGAGAATGGCTTCTCCATTCCCTAGATGCTCCCTGGGTCCTCAGAGCATGGACAGAGCCTCAGATTACTCTTCTTAATAGTCCTGGAGTTTGATAGTATTTTTAATAACAAAAATATTTATGAATGACCCTGCTAACGCCCCCTCCAGTTTGATTCCTTGCCAGTCTTCTCTATCTTGACAAAGAACACCATTCACCCAAATTCTTTCTTTCTTTTATTTTTTTTGAGTCTTGCACTGTTACCCAAGCTGGAGTGCAGTGGCATGATCTCAGCTCACTGCAACCTCCGCCTCCCGGGTTCAAGAGATTCTCCTGCCTCAGCCTTCCAAGTAGCTGGGACTACAGGCGCCCGCCACCACACCCTGCTAATTTTTGTATTTTTAGTAGAGACAGGGTTTCACCATGTTGGCCAGGCTGGTCTCAAACTCCTGGCCTCAAGTGATCAACCTGCCTTGGCCACTCAGAATACTGGGATTCCAGGCATGAGCCACTGCACCTGGCCTATATTTCTATCTCCACAGTGGCACCATTTAGTCTAAGTTAAAATATCACCTACTTGGCCGGGCGCAGTGGCTCACGCCTGTAATCCCAGCACTTTGGGAGGCCGAGGCGGGCAGATCACAAGGTCAGGAGATCGAGACCATCCTGGCTAACATGGTGAAACCCCGTCTCTACTAAAAATACAAAAAGTTAGCCGAGCGTGGTGGCGGGCCCCTGTAGTCCCAGCTACTCGGGAGGCTGAGGCAGGAGAATGGCGTGAACCCGGGAGGCGGAGCTTGCAGTGAGCCGAGATCGCGCCACTGCACTCCAGCCTGAGGGACAGAGCCAGACTCCGTCTCAAAAAAAAAATAAAAATAAAAATAAAAATGAAATGAAATATCACCTACTCACCAGTCCCTGGCAACCACCAGTTGCTTCTGTGAGTTTGGCTTTTTTAGACTACACATATGAGTGAGATCCTGCAGAATTTGTCTTTCTGAGTCTGGCTTATTTTGTTTAGCATGATATATGCGGAGATGTTGATGAAAGGGTATAAGTTTCCAGTTCTAAGATGAAGAAGTTCAGGTGCTCAGCATGGTGGCAATGGATGTGCTAATTAATTTGACTGTGATAATCATTACACAATGTACAGGTGGATCAAATCATCAGATTGTATACCTTGAATATATACAATCTTCATTTGTCAATTTGATATTTTTAAATTTAAAAAGTCGTATTGCCTGAAACGCACCAACTCTTACTACATCTAGTCCCTTATTTTCCAAAAGCAGCCAGAGGCCGGGCATGATGGCCTGTGCCTGTAATCTCAGATGCTTGGGAGGCTGAGGTGGGAGGATTACCTGGGCCTGGGAGGTCAAGGCTGCAGTGAGCTGTGATTGCACCACTGCACTCCAGCCTGGGCAACCGAGTGGGACCCTGTCTCAAAAAAAAAAAAAAAAAAAAAAGCAGCCAGTGACCCTTCCAGCATATAAATAAAATCATGCCATCCTCCAGCTCAACTTCATCAGTGGGTTCCTGTTCTTTCAAAGCAGACTCTAGGACCAGTTCAAACACCCACAAGATCCTAGATGCTCTAGGCCCTGCCTTATGTCCTCCTTTCTGTGTCTCAATCATTCCAGGAACACTCACACTTCTGAGACTTTGCTTTTGCTGCTCTCTCTCCCTGGAGGGCTGTTCTCCAGATATCGGTGTGGTTGGGTCATTCTCATCCTTCATGCTTGTGGCAGATAGACCCTAAGGGGGCACTCAGGAGACTCAGGAGCCCTGCTTCCTGGTGTTCATGCCTTTGTCTAATCCCCTCACCTTGAGTGTGGAGATCTGTGACTTTCTTCTCACCAATAGCTATGGCAAAGGTGATGGGATGTTATGCTCTTGATTATGTTACATTACATAAAACTCTGTTTGCTAGGGCATTTGCTCTCTCTTTCTTCTCTCTCTCTCAATCTCTCTTCTTGCAAGTGCTGCAGAATCATTCTAGCATGAATCCTACAGCTATAAAGAACCAGATATTGCTATCAACCACAGGAGTGGAGAAATGGACCCTTCCCCAGTCAAGCCTCCAGATGAGCCAGATGAGAACACAGCCCTTGTTGACACCTTGATTGCATCCTTATGAGACCCAAAGCAGAGGACTCAGCTAAGCTGTGCCTGGACTCCTGACCCACATCAACTGTGAGATAATAAATAGGTGTTTCAGGCTGCTAAATTAGTGGTAATTTGTTATGCAGCTGTAGATCACTAATACAATGCCTCTCACAGTTATTCTCCATCTATAATGTGTTTTTTAATTACTCTGATAGCTTGCTCTTATTTCTTTCTTTCTTCCAAAGAAGAATGTGAGCTCCTGTTGGCCAGAGACCTGGTCTGTCTCAGTTCCTACAATATGCTCAGGATCTACCAAAGTATCTGAATTTGTAGGGTGAATGGGCAGCTATTTTTGTGCCAGGTATTTTGCATTAATTTTTTTTTGTAATGGAAGCATTTATATGCCCATTTTGTAATAAGTAAAAAGTAGTATAATAAAAAAGTAAAAAGTAGTATAATAAAGTGATTTGCAAAGCAGCAAACAGATTGTATATGGAAGGCTGACCTGGAAAATCAACCACTGGAAATTGATACTATAGCCTGTCTTGTGATGTAATGGTACAGCTGCGATAGAGGTGAAGAAATCAGGAAACAGTAGATGATATGCCAGAGAACATAATTGGGAAATGGCAAATAATCGCGAGGCTTTTAGGGCTAAAGTGTGGGTGCAGAAATTCTTAAGACTACAAGAACGAGTTATGGGGAATACAATTTGAAATCAATATCAAAGTGATGAGCACCTTGTTGGAGTATCATTGATCAAGAGCCTCAGAAAGAGGGTAAATCAGAGGTGAAACATTAAGTATTCAGTTACTCATCATGCCCCAAGCCCAGGCTAAGTCATTGGTGTGGACCCACGGCTACTTCTACACTACACTGATGACTGTAAAGTCTCTCCAGGGATTTCCCATGATATGGCAGGACTGACCTACTGGAAGCAACTGTGGTCAGTTGAGAGGTATTGTTTAGTGACTAATAAATGAATGGATGAATGGATGGATGGATGGATGGATGGATGGATAGATGGATAGGTGGGTGGGGGTGAGTGAATGGGTGAAAGGGTGGATGAGTGGATGAATGGGTGGAAGGATGGACAAATGAGTGGCTGGGTAAATAGATGGGTAGGTAGGTAGATAGATGGATGAAGGGGTGGGTGGACAGATGAATGGAAGGGTTGGTGGTTGGATGGATTAATGGATAGATGAATGGATGGATGGATGGATGGATGGATGGATGGATGAGTTGATGGATAGATGGATAAGTGAGTGGATGGATGGGTGAATGAGTGGGTAGGAGGGTGGATGGGTTGGTAGGTGGGTAGATGGGTGGGTGGGTTGATAGATGGGTGGGTAGATTGATAGATGGATGGGTGAGTAGATAAATGGGTAGATGAAAGTGATGCAAAATTATTCTTTATCCCTCTTCCTTGGGATCTCAAGTCATGTATGTTACAATCCTCCCACGTGCATCTTCTCACTGTGGTCCTCATCATTTTTTTTTCAGTTACCTGCACCGTGCCTCCCATACTTTTCCACACAATGGGATCTCTTAGCCCCACAATCCATTATTTGCCATTCCTACATCCCTCATAGAGCACTGGACACTCTTTCTGGCTTTCCTTCTCTGGCATAATGAAATATAAATTTTCATTTATGTCTGAATAGCAACTGTGAAGCTCATTGTTTTTGTGACACCGGGGAGGTCACCTAATCTCTATGAGCAAAAAGAAGTTAGTAACACAACCACCCTCATAGGAAGTGAAGACTGAATGAGTTAGTGGAGGCAAGTTACCTGTCGTGGAGACAGGAACATAGAAAATGCTGGATACATGTCAAATGCCAGTGTTATCACTCTATCCTCACCTGTCACCCAGATCTCCAGCTTGTTGCTGGGGAAGGAGGCCAAGTGTGATGAGTTGCTCAGGTAATACACACAGCTGTAGTTTCCACTGTCATTACTTGTCACGTTCCAGAGCATGAAATCAGTCTGGTTTTTTCTTACTTGCCTGACTTGTAATGGTTCTGGGATCCCCATTTTCAACAGAGCAATTACAATACATTCGGTTCCATTGTATGGAGTGAGACATCGAAGTGTCCTGAGACCTGGAGTCATCCCAGGGTCTACATTGACTGAGAGCAAAGGTTCTGGGAGTGATCCTGAAGAGGACAAGGCAATGGAGGTAAAGAGAAGGGCCAGGGCTTTTCCATTTTCTACTGCACTTGGGGACTATCTCATCCATCTCTCCGTATTAACCATGTCTTTCATCTTCTGCATTTGATGCTTTAACATCTTGGGGCCTTGCTGCCCTTGGTGGGACCTCCCCTCGCAGGGTTAGTTAATTTCTAGAGCCAGTAAACAACTTGTCCTCAAGGATGTCCCTCAAATGCAAGCCAATAGATCCAGAGCCCATACTCTCAACCACCTTAATTATGGGGCTCTCACACTCAAGGTCAATGTTGTCCTCTCCTAATCACCCCAGGTCCAAGAACTAGACAACCAGGGACAGCCTCTACACCCCAAAGCCAATTCTTTTTTTGTTTTTCTTTTCTTTCTTTCTTTTCTTTTCTTTTCTTTTTTTTTTTTTTTTTTTTTTTTTGAGACAGGTTCTCATTCTATCACCCAGGCTTGAGTGCAGTGGCACGATCTTGGCTCACCGCAGCCTCTGCCTCTGGGGTTCAAGCAATTCTCGTGCCTCAGCCTCCCGAGTAGCTGAAAGCACAGGTGCACACCACCACACCCAGGTAATTATTGTATTTTTGTAGAGATGGAGTTTCGCCATGTTACCCAGGCTGATGTCAAACTCCTGACCTCAGGTGATCCACCCTCCTAGGCCTCCCAAAGTGCTAGGATTACAGGCATGAACCACCACACCTGGCCAACTCTAATCTTGTTCTCCCCACAAAATACAATCAAAGCTCTGGTCCACAGTTCTTCCTCCTCCCTCTGCCCCTCATTGACCCTGGTGCTTCCCCACATACTCCCCCCAGTATAGCCTTCCTCCTCCTCTTGGGAACTGTAACAGACCATCTTTTCCATGGCAATCATCACTTGGTCTGTCAGTCTTACCATACCCCAATTTTCTATTAACTGACCATATTCTACACCACCCTCCCACATCCACATCATTGGGACCCTCTCAGAATCTCTGATGAGAATCTTGCTCCACATTCGGTTCCCATTTCCACATTGAAGGTGTTGCATCTATCCTTCTTCTTCTTTTTTTTTTTTAGACGGAGTCTTGCTCTTTCATCCAGGCTGCAGTGCAGTGGCACAATCTCAGCTCATTACAACCTCTGCCTTCTGGGCTCAAGAGATTCTCTTCCTGCCTCAGCCTCCCTAGTAGCTGGGATTACAGGCGCCTGCCACCACGCCCAGCTAATTTTTGTATTTTAAGTAGAGGTGAGGTTTCACCATGTTGGCCAGGCTGGTCTCGAACTCCCGACCTCAAGTGATCTGCCCACCTCTGCCTCCCAAAGTGCTGGGATTACAGGCATGAGCCACCGCGCCGTGCCTGGCCTGCATCTATCTTTTTGTCTCCTAGATTCCTTCTTCCCCAGCCATGTCCCACGACAGGAAAAGAAATACGTGCATCAGGCAGGCTTTGGTGACTCACGCCTGTAATCCCAGCACTTTGGGAGGCCAAGGCAGGAGGATCACCTGAGCTCAGGAGTTCAAGACCAGCCTGGGCAACATAGATCCTGTCTCAACAAGTAATTTAAAAATTAGCCAGGCATGGTGGTGCTTGCCTGTACTCCCAGCTACTTGGGAGGCTGATGTGGGAAAATCGCTTGAGCCTGGGAGGTCGAGGCTGCAGTGAATTGTGTTCATGCCACTGCACTCCTGCCTGGGTGACAGAGCGAGATTCTGTCAAAAAAAAAAAAAGCAGCCGAGCGCAGTGGCTCACTCCTGTAATCTCAGCACTTTGGGAGGCTGAGGTGGGCAGATCACTTGAGGTCAGCAGTTCGAGATCAGCCTGGCCAACATGGTAAAACCCTGTCTCTACTAAAATACAAAAATTAGCCAGGTGTGGTGGCGCACCCCTGTAGTTCCAGCTACTCGGGAGGCTGAGGCAGGTGAATTGCATGAACCCAGGAGGCGGGGGTTGCAGTGAGCTGAGATCATGCCACTGTACTCCAGCCTGGGCAACAGAGCAAGACTCCCTCTCAAAAAAAAAAAAAAGGCTGGGTGTGGAGGTTCACGTTTATAATCCCAGCCCTTTGGGAGGCCGAGGCAGATGGATCACTTGAGGTCAGGAGTTTGAGATCAACCTCACCAATATGGTACAACCTCATCTTTATTAAAAATACAAAAATTAGGCCGGGCGCGGTGGCTCATGCCTGTAATCCCAGCACTTTGGGAGGCGGAGGCAGGTGGATCACAAGGTCAGGAGATGGAGACCATCCTGGCTAACATGGCGAAACCCCATCTCTACTAAAAACACAAACAATTAGCTGGGCGTGGTGGCGGGCGCCTGTAGTCCCAGCTACTCGGGAGGCTGAGGAGGGAGAATTGCTTGAACCCAGGAGGCAGAAGTTGCAGTGAGCCGAGATCGTGCCACTGCACTCCAGCCTGGGAGACACAGCAAGACTCTGTCTTAAAAAAAAAAAAGCAAAGCCAAACCAAAGAAATGTGTGCATCAAAGAGTACATCTGCCCTTCTCACCTGTGACCACCAGCTGCAAGTGTTCACTGCTTTCTGACCACTCATGGGAGGCTGTTGTCTTGTAGGCACAAAAGTACCTCCCAGCATCCTTAGGCTTCAGGTCCGTGAAGGGGAATTCAGCTTCGTTTTCTGCCGAGCTCTGTTCCTGCTTGTACCCAGAGTCGTTCACCTTGCGCAGCACAAATGTCACATTCTGGGAATGAGCCTGACACTTCAGGGTCACATTGCTCTCGGCTTCAACCACCGAGCTGGGCCAGGCGTGGAGGGAGGGCTTGGGCGGTTTCTCTGGAAACAATTCAGAGTTAATTTGAGTCTAGAATTCAGACGATTAAAGGAAAAGGTCATGAAGCGTGGGATGCAGGAATAAAAGTTTAAGTAGGAGAAAACTCACCATTCTTTTTCTCATCTTCGTAGCCCAGACACAGCCCTGGAAGAGAAATCTCAATGAGAGAAAAATTATGTGCTTGTCCTTGAGTACAAATCCAGCAGAGAACGTATGACTAGCTCTTTATAGGTCTGAGATATATATATATATATAATGTATATATGTATTATATATAATAAATGTATTAAGTATATGTACACATATTACATATAATACATATATAAATATAATATATATATTAAATATATGTATTACATATATGTATATATTTTTGGCAGATATCTCCCCAGACTTACCTCTTACTTTTGTTCCATTGTTTGTCATTCAGAAGCTACGTGTATGGAGAAAATTCCAGCAACTTCTTCTTTCTTTTTTTTTTTTTTTTTTTGAAATGTAGTCTTGCTCTGTTGCACAGGCTGGAGTGCAATGACATGATCTCAGTTCACTGCAACCTCCGCCTCCCAGGTTCAAGCAATTTTCCTGCCTCAGCCTCCCGAGTAGCTGGGACTACAGGCACCCGCCACCACACCTGGCTAATTTTTGCATTTTTAGTAGAGACAGGGTCTCACCATGTTGGCCAGGCTGGTCTTGAACTCCTGACCTCAGGTGATCCACACGCCTCGGCCTCCCAAAGTGCTGGGATTACAGGCGTGAGCCACTGCCCCCGGCCCAGCAACCTTTTCTGATGTATTGAATTGCTTTCATGAGTAATCCTTTCACCATCTAGAAATTGTTCAACATTCACCTATGCTTTTTTCTGGTATTTTCTGTGATTGCAGTGTTTTGTTTTGTTTTGAGACAGAGTCTCGCTGTGTCACCCAGGCTGGAGTGCAGTGGTGCAGTCTCAGCTCACTGCAACCTCCTCCACCCCCTGGGTTCAAGTGATACTCGTACCTCAGGCTCCAGAGTAGCTGGGACTACAGGTGTGTGCCATCGTGCCCAGCTAATTTTTGTTGTTGTTGTTGTAGAGATGGGGTTTCACCATGTTGCCCAGGCTGGTCTCAAACTCCTGAGCTCAAGTGATCCACCCGCCTCAGCCTCCCAAAGCGCTGGGATTACAGGCATGAGCCACCGTGCCCGGCCTGATTGCAGTTTTACCCTTGCCACTTAAATAATGCAAAGGTTATTTTATCGTGGAGTGAGAGTGGTGGGTTTTTTTTTTTTTTTTATTTTTCGAGATGGAGTCTCGCTCTGTCACCCAGGCTGGAGTGCAGTGGCGCGATCTCGGCTCACCGCAAGCTCTGCCTCCCGGGTTCACGCCATTCTCCTGCCTCGGCCTCCCGAGTAGCTGGGACTACAGGCACCCGCCACCAAGCCCAGCTAATTAATTTTTTTGTATTTTTAGTAGAGACGGGGTTTCACTGTGTTAGCCAGGATGGTCTTGATCTCCTGACCTCGTGATCCACCCGCCTCGGACTCCCAAAGTGCTGGGATTACAGGCATCAGCCACCGCGCCCGGCCGAGAGGAGGGTTTTCTTGCTCAATTCCAATAGAGAGAATCTGCTCCCCCTTCCCCGTGTCTTCTGGTCCCAAATACTCTCCTCACTTTAGCTTTGGTTTCCACTTACATTATCCCCTCCCTCTTCTGTGTTCTGTTCTCTACATTCCCCGCTGGGAAGGTAGCGTCTTAAACTTGGGTGGAAAATGGGATGTCAGTCATGGGGCTTGTTTCAGGGTGAAGTTACGTAGAATTTAGGTAGAAATTCTCTAGAGCCACGACAGTGTCTCAGGACATTGGTTCCTTGTTGACACAGGTGCCGATACAGAACGTGACCCCCCACCAAGCTTCACCACAGAGGAATGAGGTGGAGGCCTCACGATGGACCGAAGCTGCGTTGGCAGCGAGATTAGCTGGGATTGGCAGGTAGGAAACAGCCTCTGGGTGGGCAGGGCATCCCAGGACTCAGGCTCTGTTTTGAGACCCTCCCCAAATCCCGCTTTTAGATTCATGTCATCTCATCTCTGCTATCCACCCATCGTCTGTTCAAACAGTGATTCCTATATTCTTTTTTCTTTTTGAGACAGGGTCTCACTCTGTGGCCCAGGCTGGAGTGCCAGGGTGCAGTCACAGCTCACTGCAGCCTCAACCTCCTGGGCTCAAGTGATCCATCCATCTCAGCCTCCCAAATAACTGGGACTACAGGCATGCACCACCACGCTGGCTGATTTTAAAATTTTTTTGTAGAGATGAGGACTCACGATGTTGCCCAGGCTGGTCTCGAACACCTGAGTTCAAGTGATTCTCCCACCTTGGCCTCCCAACATGCTGGGATTACAGGTGTGAGCTACCTGCACCCAGCCCAATTCCCATATTCTTTTTCTTTTCTTTTTTTTTTTTTTTTTTTGACATGGAGTCTCCCTCTGTCACCCAGGCTGGAGGGCAGCGGTGCTATCTTAGCTCACTGCAACCTCTGCCTCCCAGGTTCAAGCGATTTTCCTGCCTCAGCCTCCCGAGTAGCTGGGATTACAGGTCCTTGCCACCATGCCCAGCTAATTTTTGTATTTTTAGTAGAGACGGGGTTTCACCATGTTGGCCAGTCTGGTCTCAAACTCCTGACCTCAAGAGATCTGCCCGCCTGGGCCTCCCAAAGTCCTGAGATTACAGGCGTGAGCCACCACACCTGGCTGATTTGTGTTTCTTGAAAAGAGAAGTTCAAGTTGTAACTCCCAGGACCTGCGAATGTGACCTTATTTGAAAATAGCATTGTCTGATCTTTGCAGATGTAATTAATTAAACTAAGATGAGGTCATACTAGAGTAGGCTGGGTATCTAATCCAATATAACTTACAAGAAGAGAAAAAGAGAGACAGAGACACACAGAAGGAAGACGGCCATGCGAAGACAGAGGCAGAGAGGCCAGGCTGCAATCATAGTGCTTTGGGATGCCAAGATAGGAGAATTGCTTGAGCCCAGGAGTTGGAGACTAGCCTGGGCAATATAGCAAGATCCCATCTCTAAAACAGAAATTATTTTAATTAGTCCAACATGGTGGTGTGCACCTGTAGTCCTAGCTGCTCAGAAGGCTGCGGGGAGGACTGCTTGAGCTCAGGAGGTTGAGGCTGCAGTGAGCTATGGTGGTACCACTGCACTCCGGCCTGGGCAACTGAGTGAGACCCTGTCTAAAGAAAAGAAAAAAAAAAACAGAGCCAACGATTGGAGTGATGCATCTACAAGTTAAAGAATGCCGGGAGCGCTGGCTCACGCCTGTAATCTCAACAGTTTGGGAGGCTGAGGCGGGCAGATCACCTGAGGTCAGGAGTTCGAGGCCAGCCTGGCCAACGTGGTGAAACCCTGTCTCTACTAAAAATACAAAAATTAGCCAGGCATGGTGGTCCATGCTTGTAATCCCAGCTACTTGGGAGGCTAAGGCAGGAGAATTGATTGAACCCAGGAGGTGGAGGTTGCAGTGAGAAAGATCATGCCACTGCACTCTAGCCTGGGTGACAGAGCAAGACTCCGCCTCAAGAAAAAAAAAAAATGCCAAGAATTGTCAGCCATCACTAGAAGAGGGGCATAAAACAGACGCTCCTTCATAGTTCTCAGAAGGAATCAACATTGCAAACACCTTGGTTTCAGACTTCTCATCTCCCCAACTTAAAGCAATTCTAATTCCTTTAAGCCACCAGGCTTGTAGTACTTTGGTATGGCAGCCATTGGGGGATGAGGTCAGTCTCCTGGTTGCCCAGCTTACTGTGCTCAGCAGCTGGAGGCTTGGGTATGAACCCGATAGTCATCTCTAAGGCACAAATAGCCGGGTGCAGTGGCTCACACCTGTAATCCCAGCACTTTAGGAGGTTGAAGTGGGTAGATCACCTGAGTTCAGGAGTTTGAGACCAGCCTGGCCAACATGGTGAAACCCCATCTCTACTAAAAACACAAAAAATTAGCCAGGCGTGGTGGCGTGTGCCTATAATCCCAGCTTCTCGGGAGGCGGAGGCAGGAGAATCGCTTGAACCCAGGAGGTGGAGGTTGCAGTGAGCTGAGATCACACCACTGCACTCCAGCCTGGGAGACAAAGCAAGACTCTGTCAAAAAAAAAAAAAAATGCTCATCTAAGGTGCAAATGTGTGTAGGAGACGAGCATTACCCCACAAGGAAGGGCTGCACCCAGAAAAGGAGGAAGGAACTGAAGCAGACGAAGCACGTCGATGTCCACCGCACCCCCCGTGCACCAGGGAGGAACTGGGGCCTTAGGGAGGTGGAGCTCTGCTGGGTCAAGCCTAGAGTTTCTATGTAGTAAAGCCGAGATTATAACCCAGGTCATCCGTTTCACAGTGTGAGCTCTGTCTGAATACATCAGGTTCAATTGGAGGATGGTTAAAATCAGCCTAAGAATCGAGCTGGTCAGAAAATTGTCTTCTTGGGGCCAGGTGTGGTGGCTCACGCCTGTAATCCCAGCACTTTGGGAGGCTGAGGCGGGCGGATCACCTGAGGTCAGGGGCTCGAGACCAGCCTGACCAACATGGTGAAACCCCGTCTCTACTTAAAATACAAAAGTCAGCCGGGTGTGGTGGCCTGCACCTGTAGTCCCACCTACTCGGGAGGCTGAGGCAGGAGAATCGCTTGAACCTGGGAGACGGAGGTTGCAGTGAGCCCAGATCACGCCATTGCACTCCAGCCTGGGCTACAGAGTGAGACTCTGTCTCATAAATAAATGCATACATACATAAATAAATAAATAAGAGAGAGAGAGAAGAAAATTGTCTTTTTGCCCACAGCCTTGCACCCTGTAGATCCCTAAGCCCAGCCCTCCTCTATTCCGACGGAGGATGATGGCAGTACTGCGGTATTTAGCGGCTGCAGACTCGGAGACCCCACAGCAGCTCTGCCTTTCCCAGCGGAGTCTGTCCCCGTGTCTCTGCAGCGCGGCCTCCTCCTCGCTTGCATGTGGGCGGCAGAACTCACAGAACCCACAGCCCAGACCCACCCACCGCAGGTGTGCAACACCTGGAAGTCATTACTTCCACACACCGCATTTCCACCTGGACTGCCACTCCCACATGAGTTTTTCTCACCAGCCCAAGCCCATTCGTCCCAGTCCTGGAGACTCACCGAGGCAAAGCAGGGAGAGGAATTCTGCGGTCATAGCGTCCCTTCTGCCAGAACCAAGGCCCCGCCTTGGGTTTTACCCTTCAAAGGCGGAGCGGGACTGGGCCGGCCGCAGCTCTCCGGCTGCCCGGTTCGTCCCCAGGATGTGCAGATAGAGGAGGTTTTGCTCTGACACTCTGGTTCTCTGCCCCACTCTTGCAGTTTCCTTCTCACAACCGACTCAGGAAACAAGAAGCCGTCGATGATAACTTCTTCCCCATGAATCCGGTGTGTGTGGCCCCACCCGCCCGAGCTCTGTCCTACCTTATCTGAAGTTCTGCCAAGAGTTTTCTGTAAATGTAATTTTTTATTTTAAAACACTAATACCGGCCGGACGCGGTGGCTCACGCCTGTAATCCCAGCACCTTGAGAGGCTGAGGCGGGCGGATCACCTGAGGTCGGGAGTTCAAGACCAGCCTGACCAAAATGGAGAAACCCCCGTCTCTACTAAAAATACAAAATTAGCCAGGCATGGTGGCGCATGCCTGTAATCCCAGCTACTCCGGAGGCTGAGACAGGAGAATGGCTTGAACCCAGGAGGCGGAGGTTGCTGTGAGCCAAGATTGTGCCACTGCACTCCAGCCTGGACAACAACGGTGAAACTGTCTCAAACAAGCAAACAAACAAACATTAATACCTATAGCTTTATAGCTTCCGTGTACCCACTAGCCAGCTCCCCACAATGTTAACCTTTTTTTGGGGGGCGGGGGGGACAGAGTCTTGCTCTGTCACCCAGGCTGGAGTGCAGTGGCGCGATCTCGGCTCACTGCAACCTCTGCCTCATGGGTTTAAGGATTCTCCTGCCTCAGACTCCCAAGTAGCTGGGATTACAAGCATGCACCACCACACCCAGCTAATTTTTTGTAGAGATGGGATTTCACCATGTGGGCCAGGCTGGTCTTGAACTCCTGGTCTCTAGTGACCCGCCCACCTCAGCCTCCCAAAGTGCTGGGATTACAGGCATAAGCCACTGTGCCCGGCCAATGGTAATCTCTTATAATTACAGTACTTTTTTTTTTTTTTTTTTTTTTTGAGACAGAATCTCTGTCAGCCAGGCTGGAGTGCAGTGGCACAATCTTGGCTCACTGCAACCTCTGCCTCCCGGGTTCAAGCGATTCTCCTGCCTCAGCCTCCCGAGTTGCCGGGATGACAGGTGTCCGCCACCACTCTTGGCTAATTTTTTTTGTTCTTTTTAGTAGAAACGAGGTTTTGCCATGTTGCCCAGGCTGGTCTCGAACTTCTGACCTCAGGCGATCCGCCTGCCTCGGCCTCCCAAACTGCTGGGATTACAGGCGTGAGCCACCACGCCCGGCGTATGGCACATTTTCAAAACCAGAGACTTTGCACTGGCATCACACGTTTAACCAGGTTCCAGAGGTCACTCAGATCTCACCAGTTTGTGCATAATTCGTTTCTCTTTTTCTCTTCCTCTTCCTTCTATTTCTATTTCCTTTTCTCCTTTTCCTTCTTTTCTCCTGCTCTTCCTCCTCTTCCACCTTCTTTTCCTCCTCCCTTTTCTTTGCCTATGGGTATAGTTCTGTAACATTTTATTGCCTGTATGTATGGCTTTATAGAACCACCGCCACAATCAAGACACAGAACTGTCCCACCACCACGTAGGAACTCCCTCATGCTGCCCCTTTATAATCGCTCTCCCACCCTAGCACCTGCTAATCTGTTCTACGTCTCTATCACTTTGTCACTTTGAGACTCTTGTATAAATGGAATCGTCCATCGCCTCACCTTCTGAGGGTGACCTTTTTCACTCAGCACAATGCCTGTGAGATTCATTCAAATGGTTGTGTGTTATGATGATGGATACATTAGCCGGGCGTGGTGGCACACGCCCATAGTCCCAGCTACTCAGGAGGCTGAGGCAGGAGAATCGCTTGAACCCGGGAGGCGGAGGTTGCAGTGAGCTGAGATCACGCCACTGCACTCCAGCCTGGGTCACAGAGCAAGACTCCATCAAAAAAAAAGAATTATCTAATGGATACAATGTGTGTCACTGGGTTAGTGGATACCTGAAAGCCCTAACTTCATCATTTTGGAATCTATCCATGCAATAAAGTTACACTTGTACCCCATAAACGTATACAAATAAAAAATAATCGTCTGGGCATGATGACTTACCGCTGTAATCCCAGCACTTTGGGAGGCTGAGGCGGGATTACAGGTGTGAGCCACCATGCCCGGCCTATACTTTCTATCTTAATAACTACAAAAATAATAACTTGCTGGATGGGTCCCTGTGCCCACCCCGTCCTGTCCTAAGTGAGGAGGATGGGAAGAAAGCCATCGTCCTGTCCTGGTGCGGCTCTCAAACAGCTGGAAATGCTGGCTGCACAGGAAACTCTAAGGATCGGCAGCTCTAGCGCATGCTACCCTTGGCAGCTGTGTGGTCTGTGGATAGAGAAGGACCAACCTGTGGTTAGTGGAGGAAGAGGAGGAATATTGCTTTGATAAGCACATCCTCAGAGTTATAACAGAGGAGACAATAGTTATAAAATAAGAATGATATTTACGAAAAATAATAAGACTATTAACAAGAAACAGCAACAAATCTTGAAAACAAAATGTAACAACAAAACATAAATGTTGACTTTTTTTTTTTTTTTTTTTTTGAGACGGAGTCTCGCTCTGTCGCCCAGGCTGCAGTGCAGTGGTGAGATCTCGGCTCACTGCAACCTCTGCCTCCCGGGTTCCAGCAATTCTCCTGCCTCAGCCTCCTGAGTAGCTGGGATTACAGGCATGCACCACCACGCCCAGCTAATTTTTGTATTTTTAGTAGAGATGGGGTTTCACCATATTGGCCAGGATGGTCTCGATCTCTTGACCTTGTGATCCGCCCACCTCGGCCTCCCAGAGTGCTGGGATTATAGGCATGAGCCACAGCACCTGGCAACTGTTGACATTTTACATCTGCACCAGTAAGACTGGCTACCAATTACAAGCAAATGGATGCCATGGATAGAATGGAATTCCTGCCAAACTGGGTAAAATGTTGGAAACATATAAAATAAAATGTAAAAGAAATGTATTATAAATACAGGCTGGGCGTGGTGGCTCATGCCTGTAATCCCAGCACTTTGGGAAGCCAAGGTGGGCAGATCACTTGAGGTCAGGAGTTCGAGACCAGCCTCGCCAACATGGTGAAACCCCGTCTCTACTAACACACAAAAATTAGCCAGGCATGGTGGTGGGCGCCTGTAATCCCAGCTACTTGAGAGGCTGAGGCAGGAGAGTCACTTGAACCTGAGAGGGAGGTTGCAGTGAGCTGAAATTACGCCACTGCACTCCAGCCTGGGTGACAGAGTGAGACTCCCTCTCCAAAAAAAAAGAAAGAAAGAATGTATTATAAATACATATGACCAAGCACAGTGGCTAACGCCTGTAGTCCTGGCACTTTGGGAGGCCAAGATGAGAGGATCACTTGAGTCCAAGAGTTCGAGACCAAGTTGGGCCATATGGTGGAACCCGGCTTCTACAAAAAATACAAAATTTAGTCCGGCATGATGGCACACACCTGTGGTCCCAGCTACTCAGAAGGCTGAGATGGGAGGATTACTTTAGCCTGGGAGGTCGAGGCTGCAGTGAGCCGTGATCTAGCCACTACACTCCAGCCTGGGCGACAGAGTGAGACCCTGTCTCAAAATAAATAAATATAATAAATAAATAAATATGTATATCCCAATATTGGACTAAATGCTGGTCCAGAAGCACAAAATAGAAAGAACGGAGAGGAAGTATTAATAAATATTACACAGGAAGCAATGTTTTTCCCTTCGTGTGGAGGAAGAGTTCCCCGCAGGTGAGAGTCACCTACTACTCAATCTGACTCTGAAGTTTTAAGTATTGATTCAAGTTATCAAAAATGTATTAAGGGCTGGGCACGGTGACTCAAGCCTGCAATCCCAGCACTTTGGGAGGCCGAGGTGGGCTGATCACTTGAGCTCAGGTGTTCAAGACCAGCCTGGCCAACATGGGTGAAACCCCATCTCTACTAAAAGTACAAAAATTAGCTGGGCATGGTGGCAGGCGCCTGTAATCCCAGCGACTTGGGAGGCTAAGGCAGGAGAATCGCTTAAACCCAGGAGGTGGAGGTTGCAGTGAGCCGAGATCTTGCCATTGCACTGCAGCCTGGGTGACAGAGCGAGACTCCGTCTCAAAGAAAAAAAAAAAAAGTATTACGTGGCTCATTGTGCCCAATTCTGTCCTCTGTCCCCAGTGAAAAGTACAGGAAGAAGAAAGCCACCATCCTGCCCTACAGCAGATCCCAACAGAGCTGAGAGTGCAGGTTCCACAGAAAGCGGTTAAGGCTCAGCTGGTCCAACCCATCATTCCCTGGGCAGCTGTGGGATCTATGGCTAGAGAAGAACAGAGCTGAGCTTAGAGGGGAAGGAAGAGGAGGAAGATTGTTTTCTCCCGGCATCCAAACACAGCTTTTCAACCAGGGGGAGCACCACCCTCACTTCCCATCGCCCCATCCAGGGATATTTGAAAGGTATGAGAGTAGTGGCTTTTTTGTTGTTGTTGTTTCACAATAATTAGGTCTCCAACAGGTGTTCAATGGGAAAGGAAGTATTAGCAATGTCGAGTTACGTGTTCCTATAATGGACAAGACAGTCTCACATGGTGAAGGACTATTGCACTTTAAACACCATTTGTGGCCATGCCCGGTGGTGCACACCTGTAATCCCAGCACTTTGGGAGGCTGAGGCAGGTGGATCACTTGAGGCCAGGAGTTCGAGACCAGCCTGACCAATGTGGCGAAACCCCGTCTCTCCTAAAAATACAAAAAAATTAGCCAGATGGTGGCAGGTGCCTGTAGTTGCAGCCACTTGGGAGGCTGAGGCAGGAGAATCACTTGAACCTGGCAGGCGGAGGTTGCAATGAGCCGAGATCGCACCACTGCACTCTGGCCTGGGCGACAAAGCGAGACTCTGTCTCAAAACAAACAAACAAACAAAAAAACAAAAAATACCATTTGTGCCCATGTGGAGAAACGTGTGAAGTCCCCATGGTAGAGTCTGATGTTTAAAGAACCCCATATGGATTGAATGCACAGCAGGGCGGCTACAGTTCACAAGGCTGCACTGGGTAATTACAATTTGCTAAGAAGGTGGATCTTAAACAGAAAGGTCCATAAGCTAGATTGAGATAACCATTGTCACAATGAGTGAAATTTCTTCCTCGGCACACAATTAATTACTTAGTTAGTAGGAAAGTTCCCAGAAGGTGGATCTTAAACAGAAAAGTCCATTAGCTACATTGTGATAATCATGTCACAATTAGTGAAATTTCTTCTTTGGTACACAATTAATTATTTAGTAGGGAGGTTCCCAGAAGGTGGATCTTAAACAGAAAGGTTCGTTAGCTACATTGTGATACTCATGTCACAATCAGTGAAATTTCTTCCTTGGTACACAATAAATTACTTAGTAGGAGGGTTCCCCACCCGTAGGCTTATGGGGGTATAATTGATAAATCAAAATGGAATATATCAAAACATCACGTTGTACACAAATATAACTCCATTTTTATTTGTCGATTAGATCTCAATAAATCTGGAGCAGAAGAGAATTCCATATCTCTACAGCAGCCCATGAAAGAGAGAGGGGATCCGTGTTTTAACTTGGATCTGTTACTGGAAAGGGGTCCCAGTCCAGACCCCAAGAGAGGGTTCTCGGATCTCACACAAGTAAGAACTCAGGGTGAGTACACAGAGTAAAGTGAAGGCAAGTTTATTAAGAAAGTCAAGGAATATGGCTGCTCCATAGGCAGAGCAGTCCAGAGGGCTGTCAGTCGGCTATTTTTGTGGTTATTTCTTGATCGTATGCTAAACAAGGGGTGGACTGTTCATGAGTTTTCCAGGAAAGGGGAGGGGATTTCCCTGGAACTGAGAGTCCCTCCCTCGTTTAGCTTCTGGAAGTTGCCATGGCATCTGTAAGCTGTCTTGGTGGCGGTGGGAGTGTCTTTTAGCATGCAAATGCATTATAATTAGCAAATAATGTGCAGTGAGGACGACCAGAAGTCACTTTTGTTGCCATCTTGGATTTGGCAGGTTTTGGCTGGCTTCTTTGTTGCATCTTTGTGTCTTTGGGTCTTTGTGACCTGTATGTTGTGACCTGTCTCATCCTGTGACTTAGAAAGCCTCAACCCCCTGGGAATGCAGTCCAGCAGGTTGCAGCCTCAGTTTACCCAGCCCCGGTTCAAGATGGAGTCACTCTGGTTTGAAGGCCTCTGATTCACCTGGAGACACATTCCGGCTGTACCAGGCCTCCACCAGGAAAGCTCCCATGATAACCACAATTACGGCAGCCAGACCCAGTCGTACGAAGTTACCCAGGGAGTAGTTGCTCGATGTGGTACCTGGGGGAACTGAAAGAGAGAAGGGGCTCAGCACTGACCCTCAGAGGGTATCCCTCCTTCTCAAATGGCCCCACCAAATCTGACTATCATCACCCACTTAATGTTTTCGGTTTTTTGGTTTTTTTTTTTGAGACGGAGTTTTACTCTTGTTGACCAGGCTGGAGTGCAGTGGTGTAATCTCAGCTCACCACAACCTCTGCCTCCCAGGTTCAAGCCTCCCTGCCTCAGCCTCCCAAGTAGCTGGGATTACAGGCATGTGCCACCATGCCCGGCTAATTTTATATTTTTAGTAGAGACGGGGTTTCGCCATGTTGGCCAGGCTGGTCTTGAACTCCCGACCTCAGGTGACCCGCCCACCTCAGCCTCCCAAAGTGCTGGGATTACAGGTGTGAGCCACCGCGCCCGGCCACCCACTTAATGTTTTCTAGCCAGTAGTCCACTGTACTTTAAAGTTTTAATTGAACTTTTTTTTTTTCTTGAGATCAAGTTTTGCTCTTGTTGCCCAGACTGGAGTGTAATGGCACAATCTCAGCTCACTACAACCTCTGCCTCCCGGGTTCAAGTGATTCTCCTGTCTCAGCCTCCCAAGCAGCTGAGATTATGAGCATGTGCCACCACACCCGGCTAATTTTGTATTTTTAGTAGAGACGGGGTTTCTCCATGTTGGTCAGGCTGGTCTCGAACTCCTGACCTCAGGTGATCCACCCGCCTTGGCCTCCCAAAGTGTTGGGATTATAGGCATAAACCACCATGCCTGGCCATAATTGAGCTCTTTAAAGTTTTAATCCCTGAAAACAAAAGATGGAATCTTTGTTGTTGTTTTTGAGACGACGTCTCACTCTGTTGCTCAGGCTGGAGTGCAGCGACGCAGTCTCGGTTCACTGCAACCTCCACCTCCTGGGTTCAAGCGATTCTCCTGCCTCAGCCTCCCGAATAGCTAGGATTACAGGCACCTACCACCACACCCGGCTAATTTTTGTATTTTTAATAGAGATGGGTTTTCGCCATGTTGGCCAAACTGGTTTCGAACTCCTGGCCTCAAGTGATTCGCCTGCCTCGGCCTCCCAAGGTGCTGGGATTACAGGCCTGAGCCACCGCGCCCGGCCAAGATATGCAATCCTAATGAGTTGTAATGGGAGTTCCTTTATCTTCCTTCCTTGATATTCACTCCACCTTAGCTCTCTTCCTTCGTTTATTTGCTCTTTATCCCATTTCCACCTTCCCACATTGCCTTTTCTCCTCCCGCATCCTTATGTTAAGGAATAGTCTTGGGGCAGCACATGAGACGGAAGGAGCTCTACAGAGCCCCGAATTCCGTGGCTGGATCAGCATCCTCGCAGCCCACACTGCTGTGCAGCAGTGCACCTGAGAAAGTTTGAGTTGAGGCCGGGCACAGTAGCTCACGCCTGTAATCCCAGCACTGTGGGAGGCTAAGGTAGGAGGATTGCTTGAGGCCAGGAGTTTGAGAGCAGCCTGGGCAACATGGCGAAACCCCATGTCTACTAAAAATACAAAAAAATTAGCCGGGTGTGGTGGCGGGTGCCTGTAATCCCAGCTACTCAGGAGGCTGAGGCAGGAGAATTACTTGACCTGGGCCTGGGGTTGGGGGGTGGAGGCTGCAGTGAGCTCAGATTGTGCCACTACACTCCAGCTTGGGCGACAGAGTGAGACTCCATCTCAAAGAAAACAAACAAACAAACAAAACCCTAGCCTCCAGATTTTCAGGGAGGCTGATTTGAGTAATAATAAAACTCTGATTGGCCAGGTGCAGTGGCTCATGCCTGTAATCCCAGCACTTTGGGAGGCCCAAGCGGGCAGATCACGAGGTCAGGAGTTCGAGACCAGCCTGGCCAATATGGTAAAACCCCATCTCTACTAAAAATACAAAAATTAGCCAGGCAGGGTGGCACACATATAGTCCCAGCTACTCGGGAGGCTGAGGCAGAAGAATCGTTTGAACCTGGGAGGCAGAGGTTTCATTGAGCCGAGATCGCGCCACTGCACTCCAGCCTGGGCGACAGAGCAAGACTCCGTCTCAAACAAACAAACAAACAAAAAAACTCTGGTCTCCCACTTACCTGGCTCAATGTGTATTAAACTCTTTTTTGCAATTCCTCTGTCTTGATGAATGGGCTTCATCCAGGCACCCGGCAAGAGCTGTAATGTAACTCATTACAGCAGTTACAATAGATGAAAAATAATTTACAGAGCTGAGGAAGCAGAGTGCTAGCACCCAGTAAGGCAGGAAACAAGATACTTTCAGAAGAATTCTAGCAGTCAATAAAAGACATGGGTAGACTTCGCATCCACGGCATAGAAGCAGGAGGCTGTGCAAACACCATGTTCTGAGGATGAGATAATTTTTTTTTTTAATTTGAAACTGGGTCTCACTATGTTGCCCAGGCTGGTCTCAAACTCCTGGGCTCAAGCAATTCTCCAGCCTCAGCCTCCCAAAGTGCTGGGATTACAGGCCTGAGCCACCGCACATGACTGAGAAAGAATTATTGAGAGTGAAATCACTAACACCAAGAAAAACCAAAACACGCCATGCACAGTGGTTCACACCTGCAATCCCAGCCCTTTGGGAGGCCGAGGTGAGTGGATCACCTGAGGCCAGGGGTTCAAGACCAGCCTGGTCAACATGGTCAGAACCCCATCTCTACTAAAAATACAAAAATTAGCCAGGCGTGGTGGTGGGCACATGTAATCCCAGCTACTCAAGTGGCTGAGGCAGGAGAATTGCTTAAACTCGGGAGGCAGAGGTTGCAGTGAGCTGAGATCGCACCACTGCACTCCACCCTGGGCAACAGAGCGAGACTCTGTCTCAAAAACAAAATGAAACAAAACAAAACAAAAAACCAAAACGCTAAGAGATGCAAAGACTGGTAGAAGGAATCTGGTGCTGGTAGATTCATAATTTTCAAAAACAGCCTAGAAATTTTCCAAGGATGTAGTATAACAAAAAGGCAAAGGAGGGCCGGGCACGGTGGCTCACACCTGTAATCCCAGCACTTTGGGAGGCCGAGGCAGGCAGATCACCTGAGGTCAGGAGTTCAAGACCAGCCTGGTCAACACGGTGAAACCTTCATCGCTACTAAAAATAGAAAAATTAGCCGGATGGGTGGTGCAGGCCTGTAATCCTAGCTACTTGGGAGGCTGAGGCAGGAGAATCACTTGAACCTGGAAGGTGGAGGTTGCAGTGAGCGAAGATCGCGCCATTGCACTCCATCCTGGCAACAGAGTGAGACTCCATTTCAAAAAAAAAAAAAAAAAAAAAAGGCAAAGGAGTGGAAATTGTGAAAGGGAGGTTTTTTTGTTGTTTTGTTGTTTTTGTTTTTGTTTTTTGTTTTTTGTTTTTGAGACAGAGTCTCACTCTATTGCCCAGGCTGGAGTGCAGTGGCAAGATCTTGGCTCACTGCAACCTCCGCCTCCCATGTTCAAGCAATTCTCCTGCCTCAGCCTCCCAAGTAGCTGGGTCTACAGGTGCATGCCATCATACCTGGCTAATTTTTTATTTTTAGTAGAGACGGGGTTTCACTATGTTGGCCAGGCTGGTCTCAAATCCTTGACCTCAGATGATCCATCCACCTCGGCCTCCCAAAGTGCTGGGATGACAGGCATGAGCCACCACGCCAGGCCAGAAAGGGAAGATTTTGTTAAGAGCGATGATATTGTAAGTAATGAAGAAATGAGATTCACAGAAGAACAAAACAATCTCTGATTAAAAACAACACACACAGTTCCTCAAAACCATACACGCCCTTACCTGTCACCAATATCTCAAGCTGATCACTGGGTTCTGAGGCCCAGAAGGGAGACTTTGTCTGGTAGTACATGCAGCTGTAGTTCCCAGCATCGCCGGCTGTCACGTCCACCAGAGAGAAGTCTATCTCCTTCCCCGCTGGACTCTGCAGCTGGATGGGTGATGGCGTCCCTGCCTTCAGTAGAGCGAACATGATAGGCACAAACAATTGGTCTCGCTTCTGGCACTGCAGAGTCACCCTTCCACCTGCGGTCACTGTACCCCTTTGGTAGGTTCGGAGGAAAGGTTTAGATAAATGTCCTGTAAGAGAAGTCAGGTTCTGAGGTCCTGGGGAGAAGTCTGGAATCCCCCACTCACCCCTGTTCTCCTGGCCGGAGGCTCTCGTGGAGTGTGGGAAATGAGAGATTCCTGATCTCTTCTACCTTCCTCCACTTCCTACTCCGACCCCAGGACAGAGATTCTCCCTCCTACAAGACCTGTGTAAGGCCTGGCATGGTGGCTCACACCTGTAATCCCAGCACTTTGGGAGGCCAAGGCGGGTGGATCACCTGAGGTCAGGAGTTCGAGACCAGCCTGCCCAACATGGCGAAACCCTGTCTCTACTAAAAATACAAAAATTAGCCGGGCATGGTGGCAGGCACCTGTAATCCCAGCTGCTCAGGAGGCTGGAGCAGGAGAATCACTTGAGCCCAGGAGGCGGAAGTTGCAGTGAGCCGAGATGGCACCACTGCACTCTGGCCTGGGCGACAAAGTATAAAACCAACATATGCAATTTCGTTCCTGTCTCTCTCCCTCTCCCATCACCCCCAACTACTCTGAAGGTGGGACCCCTTTTCTCCCTCTGTTCCTCCACTTCCTCCCTCATCCCCTGTCCCCCGTATGTCATTGGCAGGCACCCTGTCTGTACCTGTCACCAACAGTAGAAGGACGTCACTGCGCTGTGAAAGGATGTGGGGGGATGCTTTTCTGTAGTATTCACAGGTGTACTCTCCAGCATTTCTGACTTTTAGATTATTGAGGTGAAATTCGGCCGCGCCCTCTGTAGAATCAAGGGGCTTCGGGGACTCCAGAATAATTCCTCCCTTCCTGAGAACAAAGCTCACACCTCTGGCAGGAGTCCAACATCGCAGCGTCACATTGCTGTTGGCAGGGACCACCGAGCTGGGCCAGGCACTGAGGGACGGCTTGGGCAGTGACCCTGGAAGGAAGCAGAGCCTGATGCTGGACCCGATGCCCTCCCCTGCTCTCAGGAAGCCCTTTTTAAAATTTATTATTATTATTATTATTTTGAGATGGAGTCTCCCTCTGTTGCCCAGGCTAGAGTGCAGTGGTGCAATCTCAGTTCACTGCAACCTCCGTCTCCTGGGTTAAAGCAATTCTCCTGCCTCAGCCTCCCAAGTAGGTGGGATTACAGGCACGCACCACCACACCCAGCTAATTTTGTATTTTAGTAGAGACAAGGTTTCACCATGTTGGCCAGGCTGGTCTCGAACTCCTGACCTCAGGTGATCCACCCACCTTGGCCTCCCAAAGTGCTGGGATTACAGGCGTGAACCCCTGAGCCCAATCAGGAATCCCATTTTAAGAAGGGAAGCGGGCTGGGTGCGGTGGCTCACGCCTGTAATCCCAGCACCTTGGGAGGCCAAGGCAGGCAGATCACGAGGTCATGAGATCGAGACCATCCTGGCCAACATGGTGAAACTCCGTCTCTACTAAAAATACAAAAATTAGCTGGGCGTGGTGGCAAGCACCCGTAGTCCCAGCTACTTGGGAGGCTGAGACAGGAGAATCACTTGAGCCCAGGAGGCGGAGGTTGCTGTAAGCCGAGATTGCACCACCGCACTCCAGCCTGGCGAAAGAGTGAGACTCCGTCAAAAAAAAAAGAGAAAAAGAGGGGGAAGGGGAAGAGAACAGCAGGGGATTTGGGATGACAGGCCAAGGAGGGTGTAGTTGAAGAAACACTCACCATCTCCCCTTGTGTCTCCTTGGCCCACGCACAGTCCTGCAAGACAATCCTCCGTGAGCCAGAAGCCCCTACCTGGAGCCACGTCACCCCCTGCCCTGACCCCTGGAGATCGTCCCAGAGTCTCCTGCTGAGAACAGACCCTTAGAGGTCATACGCTCAGGAGTTCTCATTCTCCCCACACTGGACTGTGGCTTCTGCTCGACTTCCAGCTCCTCCATCCTTTCCCAGCGATTCTCCTTGACCATCCTGTGTGGCTGTCACCTCCCCCTGCTCCAGGCCTTTCCCACAAATCCTTCCATTCTCATCTTCTGTTTGAAAACAGCACTCATTCTTACCATTTCTTTCTTTCTTTCTTTTTCTTTCCTTTCTTTCTTTCTTTTTTCTTTCTTTCATTCATTCTTTCTTTCATTCATTCCAGAGACAGAGTCTCGCTCTTTCTTTCTTTTTCTTTCTTTCTTTCTTTCATTCATTCTTTCTTTCTTTCATTCATTCTTTCTTTCTTTCATTCATTCCAGAGACAGAGTTGCGCTCTGTCGCCCAGGCTGGAGTAGAGTGACGCAATCTCGGCTCACTGCAACCTCCGCCTCCCGGGTTCAAGTGATTCTCCTGCCTCAGCCTCCCAAATAGCTGGGATCACAGGCATGCGCCAGGACGCCCGGCTGAGTTTTGTATTATTAGTAGAGACAGGGTTTCACCATATTGGCCAGGCTGGTCTCGAACTCCTGACCTCAGGTGATCCACCCACCTCGGCCTCCCAAAGTGCCGGGATTACAGGCATGAGCTTTGTGCCCAGCTTCTTTTTATTTTTTAATTTTTCATTTTATTATTGTGTTTTGAGACAGGGTCTCTCTCTGTTGCCCAGGTTGGAGTGCAGTGGCTCCATCATGGCTCACTGTAGCCTCCCAGGCTCAAGTGATCCTCCCACCTCAGCCTCCCGAGTAGCTGGGATCACAGGTGTGCACCACCACACCCGGCTAATTTTTTAGTCTTTCCCAGAGACAGAGTCTCCCTATGTTGCCCAGGCTCATGATCTCTTTTAATCCCTTCATGACTCCAAACAGGACAAAATTTATTGTTTGGTGTCCTGTAACAAGCCTCAAAACATCCAAATGGTCATTCCAGAAAGGGGAAAGCATACGTTCCTCCCTGTTTCACACATGGCTGCATTTGCTCTTCCTCCTTTTTAATTTTTTTTGATAGAGACAGGGCTGGGCTGGTTAAGAACTCTTGACCATGCCGGGCGCGGTGGCTCCCGCCTGTAATCCCAGCACTTTGGGAGGCCGAGGCAGGTGGATCACGAGGTCAGGAGTTGAAGACCAGCCTGGCCAACATGGTGAAACCCCGTCTATACTAAAAATACAAAAATTAGCCAGGTGTGGTGATGGGCGCCTGTGATCCCAGCTACTCAGGAGGCTGAGGCAGAGAATCGCTTGAACCCAGGAGGCAGAGTTTGCAATGAGCTGAGATCGCACCACTGCACTCCAGCCTGGCCACAGCGCGAGACTCAGTTTCAGGAAAGAAAAAAAAAAGAGAAAGAAAAGAAAAAACATAATATCAAGCCTGTTTATGAACATTATCATAATAATGAGATTGATCTAACTCAAAGAAAGTTAGTTAGGCCTGTGTCTCTGAGAGATTTCCTCTTTTTCCCCTGTGTGAACAGTTTTAGGTCTCAGCAGGAAAAAGGAGAAGTTACCAGGCGTTTGTGCTACTATTACATCCATGAGCCAATCCATAAACTGACACTTCAAGTTTTGCAAAAGGAAATTGTGAACACCCAAAATGTTCAAACAACGTAAGTGTCCATCCATGGAAGAATGGATAAACACAGTGTGCTCTATATATTCAATGGGATTTTTCTTCTTTTTCTTCGTTTTTTTTTTTTTTTTTTTTGAGACATAGTTTCATTCTTGTTGCCCAGGCTGGAGTGCAATGGCGCGATCTCGGCTCACTGCAACCTCCGCCTCGCGGGTTCAAGTGATTCTCCTGCCTCAGCCTCCCAAGTAGCTGGGATTACAGCTCACTGCAACCTCCGCCTTGCAGGTTCAAGTGATTCTCCTGCCTCAGCCTCCCAAGTAGCTGGGATTACAGCTCACTGCAACCTCCGCCTTGTGGGTTCAAGTGATTCTCCTGCCTCAGCCTCCCAAGTAGCTGGGATTACAGGCATGCACCACCATGCCCAGCTAATTTTGTATTTTTTAGTAGAGACAGGGTTTCACCATGTTGGTCAGGCTGGTCTTGAACTCCCCACCTCAGGTGATCCGCCCATCTTAGCCTCCAAAATGCTTTTTTCTTTTTCTTTTCTTTCTTTCTTTTTTTTTTTTTTTTTTTTTTGAGGCAGGGTCTCGCTCTGCTGCCCAGGCTGGAGTGCAATGATGTGATCCTAGTTCATTCCAGCATCAACTCCCTGGGCTCAGGTGATCCTCCCACCTCTGCCTCCCGAGTAGCTGGGACTACAGCTGCACACCACCATGCCCAGCTCATTTTTGTTGTTGTTGTTGTTTTTAATATTTATTTATTTATTTTGAGATGGAGTTTCGCTCTTGTTGCCCAGACTGGAGTGCAATGGCATGATCTCGGCTCACTGCAACCTCTGACTCCTGGGTTCAAGCGATTCTCTTGCCTCAGCCTCCCAAGTAGCTGGGATTACAGGCGCCCGCCACCACGCATGGCTAATTTTTATATTTTTAGTAGAAATGGGGTTTCACCCTATTGGCCAGGCTGTTCTCGAACTCCTTACGTCAGGTCATTGCAAAAAAAGTGCTGGGATTACAGGCGTGAGCCACCATGCCCAGCCTCATTTTTGTATTTTTTGTAGAGACAGGGTTTCACCATGTTGCCCAGGCTAGTCTCGAACTCCTGGGCTCAAGCGATCTGCCTGCCTCAGACTCTCAAAGTGCTGGGATTACAGGTGTGAGACACTGTGCTCGGCCTACAGTGGGATTTTAGCCATAAAAAGGAAAGGAAATCTGACATATCCTACAATATAGATGTAGCTCGAGGATATTATGCTGAGTAAACTAAGTCAGGCAAAAAAGAACAAGTGTTATGATTCCACTCATACATCCTAGAATAAGCAAATTCATAGAGATAAAAATTAGAATGGGCTGGACACGGTGGCTCACGCCTGTAATCCCAGCACTTTGGGAGGCCGAGACAGGCAGATCACAAAGTCAGGAGATCGAGACCAGCCTGGTCAACATGGTGAAACCTTGTCTCTACTAAAAAAAAAAAAAAAAAAAACTTAGCCAGGCATGGTGGTGAGCGCCAGTGATCCCAGCTACTCGGGAGGGAGAGGCAGGAGAATCGCTTGAACCCAGGAGGCGGAGGTTGCAGTGAGCTGAGATTAGGCCACTGTACTCCAGCCTGGGTGACGAAGCAAGACTCCATCTCCGAAAAAAAAAAAAAAAAAAAGAAATTAGAATGGAGGTTACCAGGGGCTGGGAGGACCGCGGCAAATACAGAGTTATTGGTTAGAGGGTGTAGCGTTCATATTGGGAATTGTGATTGTTAATTTGATTTATCAGCTAGACCAGGCCACAGGATGCTGGGATATCTGGTTAAACATTATTTCTGGGCGTGTCTGTGAGGGTGTTTTTAGAAAGATCAGCATTTGAATCTAATGCTGAGTCGGGCAGGTTGGCCTTCCTAATGGAGGTGGGTATTCTGCTGAGGGCCAGGATGGGAGAAAAAGGTGGCAGAGCCACCACAGTGGCTCACGCCTGTAATCCCAGCACTTTGGGAGGCCAAGGCAGAAGGGCTGCTTGAGGCCAGGAGTTTGAGACCAGCCTGAGTAACATAGTGAGATCCCGTCTCTACAAAAAATTTAAAAATTACACGGGGCACTGTGGCTCACGCCTGTAATCCCAGCACTTTGGGAGGCTGAGGCTGAGGCGGGCAGATCACCTGAGGTGATCACCTGAGGGAGCTCAAGACCAGCCTGGCCAACATGATGAAACCCCGTCTCTACTAAAAAGTACAAAAAATCAGCCGGGTGTGTGGTGGGCACCTGTAATCTCAGCTACCCAGGAGGCTGAGGCAGGAGAATTGCTTGAGCCCAGGAGGTGGAGGCTGCAGTGAGCTGTGGTCATACCACTGCACTCCAGCCTGGGTACAGAGTGAGACTTTGTCTCAAAAAAAGGAAAAGGAGGGAAGGAAGGAAGGAAGTAAGGAAGGAAGGAAGGAAGGGAAAGAGAGAGAGGAAGGAAGGAATGAAGGAGAAAGAGAAAGAAAGAAAGGAAGGAAGGAAGAAAGAAAGAAAGAAAGAAAGAAAGAAAGAAAGAAAGAAAGAAAGAAAGAAAGAAAGAAAGAAAGAAAGCAAGCAAGCAAGCAAGCAGGCAAGCAAGCGGGGGCTCACGCCTGTAATCCCAGCACTTTGGGAGGCCGAGGCGGGCAGATCAAGAAGTCAGGAGATGGAGACCATCCTGGCTAACACAGTGAAACCTACGAAAAAAGCCGGGCATGGTGGCGGGCGCCTGTAGTCCCAGCTACTCGGGAGGCTGAGGCAGGAGAATGGCGTGAACCCGGGAGGCGGAGCTTGCAGTGAGCAGAGATCGCACCACTGCACTCCAGCCTGGGCGACAGAGCGAGACTCCATCTCAAAAAAAAAAAAAAGAAAGAAAGAGAGAGAGAGGAAGGAAGGGAGGAAGGAAGGAAGGAAGGAAGGAAGGAAGGAAGGGAAGGAGAAAAAGAAAGAAAGGAAGGAAGGAAGGAAGAAAGAAAGAGGTTTTAGTGTAGATAGTGGTGATGGTTACACAGCGGCCTCAATTTACTTTATAGTTATCTATTTGACACTAAATTTTTATTTATGGTATTAAGGTTTCTGGGCCAGGCACAGTGGCTCACATCTGTAATCCCAGCACTTTGAGAGACTGAGGTGGGCAGATCACCTGAGGTCGGGAGTTCGAGACCAGCCTGGCCAACATGGTGAAACACTGTCTCTACTAAAAATACAAAAATTAACCAGGCATGGTGGCGCACCCCTGTAATCCAGTTACTCAGGAGGCTGAAGCAGGAGAATCGCTTGAACCCGGGAGGCAGAGGTTGTGGTGAGCCGAGATCATGCCATTGCACTACAGCCTGGGCAACAAGAGCAAAACTCTGTCTCAAAAAAATAAAATAAAATAAAATAAAATAAGGTTTCTATTCTGAATACTTTTACTTACACACAAAAAGTCAGAGTTGATCCTGAGAAAAGGGGTAAGCCAATGAAGCCAGGTGGTGGAGGCATTCAGCAAAACTCACGAAGTTGAAACTACAGGAGTTGAAGTTTGCAGAGCACTCGTTTCCAGGGAATGTCTGCACTGCACTCAGCAGGACGTCTCACTCCTCCCGTGTGCTCAGTAAGCCAAAGTTGATGTTATTATTTCCATCCCCAGCCCAACTATCCCACCAGTTCCATGATTTTCTGCAGTCCCAGTGGATAGCCCTGTGAGACTTACTGAAACAGAGGAGGGAAAGCAGCTTAGGGATCATGATGGCTCCTTAGCCCTCCCAGAGTCCGTCTTGGGTTCTGCAGTCCACAGATGGGAGAAGAGCTGGAGTCGTCGCTGCCTCTCTCCCACCCCAGAGTGTGGGCAGTAACAGCCTTTCCTAGCCTTTCAGTTTCCCCTCCCATATCCACATTCAGGAAACATGTTGATGTTGCTGATTGCAACATGCTCCTTACACACACCAGTGTTCGAGCACTTGACTCACAGGAAATGCTCCTCTGTCTCAGGCAGATTTCAGGCATCAAACAGGTAACCCCGAAAATGCTTCAGACTTGGCCCTGAAGGGTTCGTATTGAAGAGATGAAAGCACTTCACTCTTTTTTTTTTTTTTGAGATGGTGTCTGGTTCTGTTACCTGGGCTGGAGTCCAGTGGCACGATCTCAGGTCATTGCAACTTCAGCCTCCTGGGTTCAAGCAATTCTCCGGCCTCAGCCTCCCAAGTAGCTGGGATTATAGGCGCATGCCACCATGCCCGGCTAATGTTTGTATTTTTAGTTAAGATGAGGTTTCACAAGTTAGCTGGGCTAGTCTTGAACTCCTCGCCTCAAGTGATCCACCTGCCTCGGCCTCCCAAACTGCTGGGATTACAGGCATGAGCCACTGTGCCAGGCCTTCATCACCATTTTTTTTTTTTCTTTTGAGACAGAGTTCCACTCTTTCGCCCAGGCTGGAGTGAAGTGGCAAAATCTCATCTCATTGCAACCTCCACCCCCCAGGTTCAAGCGGTTCTCCTGCCTCAGCCTCCCAAGTAGCTGGGATTACAGGAGCCCTTCAACATGCCCAGTTAATTTTTGTATTTTTTAGTAGAGATGAGGTTTCACCATGTTGGCCAGGCTGGTCTCAAACTCCTGATCTCAAGTGATCCACCCACCTCAGCCTCCCAAAGTGCTGGGATTACAGGCATGAGCCACTGTGCCCAGCCAGTCATGAGCTCATTTTTTAAGTTCAGAATATTTCAGTACATATCTATCTTTATCAAATAAGAACCATTTTAAAAATAATATAAGCACCACAGCACTGTCACATCAAGAAAGTTAAGAGTACCTCCTTGATACCAGCTAATACCCATTCAGTACTCAAATTTCCCTGATTGTCTCAAAAATGTCATTTCTATCAGGTTTTTAAAGAATAAATCAGGATCCAATAAAAGTCTACAGATTGCATTTGATAATTATGTTAATTTAGCCTGGCGCAGTGGCTCATGCCTGTAATCCCAACACTTTGGGAGACCGGGGCAGGTAGATAACCTGAGGTCAGGAGTTCGAGACCAGCCTGGCCAACCATGGTGAAACCTCATCTCTACTAAAAATACAAAAATTAGCTGGGCGTGGTGGTGCACGCCTGTAATCCCAGCTACTCAGGAGGCTGAGGCAGGAGAACTGCTTGAACCTGGGAGGCAAAGGTTGCAGTGAGCTGAGATCGCACCATTGCACTCCAGCCTGGGCAACAGAGTGAGACTCAGTCTCAAAAAAAAAAAAAAAAATGTTAATTTGAATCAGACAAAATTTTTTATTTTTTTGTTAAAATAAGAAATCAAGCAAGTTAGTTTTTAACCATGTTTTTTTTCATCTTGCATTTGGAAGAAGAGCAAAATGCCCCGAAGTCTCGTTTTTGTTTTCGGATTTTTTGTCTTGATAGCACCTACTCTTCTTACTGTTTTGGAACATAGAAAAGTCAACAAGGCAACAAATTATAAGGAGTAAAACCAACTATAATTACAGGTGTTTCTTTGAAAGTTATTTTCACAAGATGTGGCAATGATTTTTAAAGGCTTGGGACTCTTACAAGACCCTTTTGTTCAAATAACAGTTTTGTGTATGAATTTATTTCAACAGAGAACAATTTAGTAATGTTTGTGAATATTCATTTAGTTCTCCATATTGTACCAGAAAACAAGACTGATATTCTTGTGAATCTTCTCAATTCAACTCTTTATCAAATCAGATTCCTTAAATTAGTGTTGTGACTCAGAAAAAATCTTTCTCCTTATGCAGTATCAGGGAAAAGAGGACATCTCCTATATTTCTTCTTAACATCTCTGTTGCTAACAAGGAATATGCATATTTTAAAACTAGGCTCTGGAATTTTATCAGTCAACAGGAAAGGCCTGGTAAAGTTCCATTCCACTTGGAAATGAAGAAAGGAGACCCTGATTCAAAAAACGAAAAAAGAAAGAATAAAGAATAGCTTAGGGCCAGGCAAGGTGGATCACACCTGTAATCCTAAGATTTTGGGAGGTGAGGTAGGTGGAAGGCTTGATCCCAGGAGTTCAACACCAGCCTGGGCAACATGGCCTAATCCCATCTCTACAAAAAATACAAAAATTAGCCAGGCTTGGTGGTATATACCTGTAATCCCAGCTTCTCAGGAGGCTGAGGTGGGAGAATCACTTGAACCTGGGAGGGGGAGGTGGCAGTGAGCTGAGATCGCACCATTGTACCCCAGCCTGGGCAACAAGAGTGAAACTCCATCTCAAAAAATAATAATAAAATAAATAAATAAATAATCATTCACTTTGTTAGGTGTTTATCACACCTAACCTTAAGAATATGTTACCAAAATAAAAAGTCTTATAGATGAAATCATATTATATCTGAGGTTTACTTTAAAATACTCCAGGAGAAAATTTAAAATAGACTTGGGGGAGGGGACTTATCTGTAGTTATCTGCACATAATCTACATGATTATCTCAAAGCCATCCTTTTGCTGTTGAGAATTCTGATTTTTAGCTGGGCCCATTGGCACCCAGGTAAAAAACTACATTCTTCAGTGTCACTTACAGGTAGATGTAGCCGTAAGTCTTCATCTAGGACAATGATAAATAAGCATAAATATTGTAGACAGCTTCCAAAAGGTTCTTTAATGAAGTACACTTTCCTTCCTTCACTTAACTGCCTAAAATGTGGATGTGATGACTGGTATTCTAGCGTCATCTTGAACCATGAAGATGAGATGAGGTTCAAGATGGTGGAGGGTGAGCCAGAAGTAACTTAGGTCCATAATGCTTTTTGGAGTCACTGTGCCAGCCTTGGACTGCTCCCTTCAGATTTATTCTACATAAGGGAGAAATCAATTGGTATTAGTTTTAAGTCATCATTATTTAGTTCTCTTTTGGGTTTAGGTTATCAATTACTGTGTTAACAAACCACCCCAAAACTGAGTAACTTAGAGTAACAATCTTGTTTTTTTTTTTTTTTAATCATTCCTGATCTGGTGAGATGACTGGGCTCAGTTGAGCGGTTCTTCGGTTCAATGTGATGTCTTCCTGGGCTTCAGTCATCAGGGTGGCTCAACTGAGCTGGAATCTCCAAGATGGCACTTGCAAATGGCTGGCTGTTGATGCTGGATGTTGGTTGAAAGCTCGGCTAGGACTGTTGAATGATGTACCTGCACATGGCCTCTCCATTTGATTCAGACTTCTTGGAGGATAGCATCTGGGTTTCAAGAGGGGATGTCACAAGAGAGCTTTCTAAAATAGAGAAGGCGGCTGGGCATGGTGGCTCACGTCTGTAATCCCAGCACTTTGGGAGGCCGAGGTGGGTGGATCACCTGAGGTCAGGAGTTCAACATCAGCCTGGCCAACATGGTAAAACCCCGTCTCTACTAAAAACAAAATTAAAAAAAATTAGCCGGGTGTGTTTGTGCACACCTGTAATCCCAGCTACTCAGGAGGCCGAGGCAGGAGAATTGCTTGAACCTGGGAGGCGGAAGTTGCAGTGAGCCGAGATCACACCACTGCACTCCAGCCTGGGCAACAGAATGAGACTCTGTCTCAAATAAATAAATAAATAAATAAAATAAAGAAGGCAAAAGTTGTTTGTCCCTTTAAAGACTAAGCCTGGAACTGACACAGTTTCTCTTCTTCTACAGTCTTAAGGAAAGGCCAGATTCAAGGGGAGGGAAAATAAACTCTACCTCTCTATAGGGACAGTGACAAAGAATTGGAGGCCATCTTTAGTCTGTCATGTGTTATGGTCAATGGAAATAGATATATATATATTTACTGAGTGCCTGAGTCCCACCGAGAGATTTTAATTATTTTTTTATTTTTGTTTTTTTAAGATGGAATTTTGCTCTTGTTGCCCAGGCTGAAGTGCAATGGCATGATCTCAGCTCACTGCAACCTCTGCCTCCCGGGTTCAAGCGATTCTCCTGCCTCAGCCTCCCAAGTAGCTCGGATTACAGGCAAGTGCCACCACACCCAGTTAATTTTGTATTTTTTAGTAGAGATGGGATTTCTCCATGTTGGTCAGGCTGGTCTTGAACTCTTGACCTCAGGTGATCTGCCCACCTTGGCCTCCCAAAGTGCTGGGATTACAGGTGTGAGCCACCGTGCCCAGTCGAGATTTTAATTTTTATAATGGGTATAGGATGAGGCCTGGGTGTCTCATTCTGTGTTTTAAATGTTCCTGGGAAATTCTAATGTGCAGTCAAGTTTGAGAACCACTGGGTTGGAACACATAACCTCCTTCCCATCTCAGACCCTGAAACATCCTGAAAACTCCTGTATCTGGAGTTTTTCCCCCATTTTTGCTTGGCTAACTTTGACTCTTCCCTCAGAAACCAGCTTCAGAATCTTTTCTTTAGCAAAGACTTCCCTGCAAGTTCTTTAACAGCACTTATCTCAGCTGTGACAAAATCATCAATGGTGTAATTGTGTCTTTTTAATGTCTTTTCCCCTATTCTTCATAATCGTCAAAGTAAAGGATAGCTCTTCTCTCAGTCAGAACTATTAATAGATGCTGTAATGGAAATGAAACAAGACTCTCAGACTCTTGTTAAAGTAAGAAGTCTAGCAGAGTCTCAGGCTTTAATTTTTTTTTTCCGATCATAAATGTGGGAGAAAGATCATTTAACCTGCTGCTAAGGTTTGAATATTTGTTCCCTTGAAAACTCATGTTGAACCAGCCTGGGCAACATAGGGAGACCCTGTCTCTACAAATAATTTAAAAATTAGCCAGGTGAGGTGGCACATGCCTGTGATCCCAGCTACTCAGGAGGCTGAAGTGGGAGGATCACCTGAGCCCAGAAAGCTGAGGATGCAGTGAACCGTGATTGCACCACTGCACTCCAGCCTGTGCAACACAGTGAGACCCTGTCTCAAAAAATAAATAGGTAAATAAGCTGAGTGTGGTGGCTCACACCTGTAATCTCAGCACTTTAGGAAGCCAAGGTGGGCAGATCACATGAGGTCAGGAGTTTGAGACTAGCTGGCCAACATGATGAAACCCTGTCTCTACTAAAAATACAAAAATTACCCGGGCATGGTGGCACGTGCCTGTAATACCAGCTACTCAGGAGGCTGAGGCAGGAGAATCACTTGAACCTGGGAGGTGGAGGTTATAATGAGCTGAGATCATGCCACTGCTGTCCAGCCTGGGTGACATAGCAAGACATTGTCTCAAAAAATACATAAATAAATAATAAATAAATAAACTTATGGTGAAACTGAATCCCTAATGTGGCCGTATTGATAGGTCGGGCATTTAAGAGGTGATTGGGTCATGAGGACTCTTTTCTCATGAATGAACTAATCCATTCATGGATTAATGGATTAGTGAGTTAATGGATTAATGGGTTACCCTGGGAGTGAGACTGGTGGCTTTATCAGAAGAGGAAGAGAGACTTAAGTAGCACGCTCAGCTCTTTTGCCCTGTGATGCCCTGTGCCACCTCGGAACCCTCCAGAGAGTCCCCAACAGCAAGAAGGTCCTCACCAGATGCAGCCCCTCCACCTTGGACTTTCCAACCTCCATTAACTACAGGAAATAAATTCCTTTTCTTTATAAGTTATCTGGCTTCAAGTGTTCTGTTCTAAGCAACAGAATACAGACTAAGACACAGACACCAATGCATAGCTTCTGATTTAACAGAATTGTTTTTACAAGCATTTATTCTGCTTGGAAATTCAGATGTCAATCATAAGATTGTTACCAGGGCAACAAAATATTAAGTAAGACCACCAAATGGCACCAAGGTTTCTCCTTCAAAATAATGATTGCAATACTGGCAATAATTTCTAATGTCTTTGGACTCCTACAAGATTATTTTGTGCAAATTACACTTCAAAGCACAGATTTATGGAACCACAGAATGGAACACTGGCTGCTGTAATAAATATCCATAGATCTCCATACTACATAAGACTATAAAACACATTTAGAGCCTTTTTAATATTCTCAGTTTATTAACTTATCAATCCACATTCCATTTTTTTGTTTGTTTGTTTTGTTTTGTTTTTTTACTTTAAGTTCTAGGGTACATGTGCATAATGTACAGGTTTGATACATGTGCCATGTTGGTTTGCTCCACCCATCAAGTTATCATTTACATTAGGTATTTCTCCTAATGCTATCCCTCCCCCAGCCCCCCACCCCACTCTGTTTTTTTTTTTTTTGTTTTTTTTTTTTTAAGACAGGGTCTCACTGTGTCACCCAGGTTGGAGTGCAGTGGTGTGATCTCGACTCACTGCAACCTCTGCCTCTCGGGTTCAAGTGATTCTCTTGCCCCAGCCCTCCCAAGTACAAGGAATTACAGGGTTGTGCCACCACGCCGGGCTAATTTTTGTACTTTTAGTAGAGACAGTGTTTTGCCATGTTGGCCAGGGCTGGTCTCGAACTTCTGGGCCCAAGTGATCCGCCTGCCTCGACCTCCCAAAGTTCTGGGATTACAGGTGTGAACCACCATGCCTCGCCTAAACTACATTCTTGAATTAGTTTTATGGCACAGAATATCTTTTTCTCCTCTCTCAATGCCCTCTCTCTCTCTAGCTCCCTCTCCTCCCCTACAGCTGCAAAGAAGAGATCTTCTTAATCCATTTCTTAAACTTCTTTTGATCAATTATAAAGAATTTTTTTTTTTAGATGGAGTCTCACTCTGTCACCCAGGATGGAGTGCAATGGCACAATCTCAGCTCACTGCAACCTCTGCCTCCCGGGTTCAAGTGATTCTCCTGCCTCAGCCTCCCAAGTAGCTGGGACTACAGGCATGTGCCACTACGCCCGGCTACTTTTTTTTTTTTTTGTATTTTTAGTAGAGACGGGGTTTCACCATGTTAGCCAGGATGGTCTCGATCTCCTGACCTCATGATCCGCCCACCTCAGCCTTCCAAAGTGCTGGGACTACAGGCGTGTGCCACTACACCCGGCTACTTTTGTGTGTGTGTGTGTGTGTGTTTAGTAGAGACGGAGTTTCACCATGTTAGCCAAGATGGTCTCGATCTCCGGACCTTGTGATCCACCCGCCTCAGCCTCCCAAAGTGCTGGGATTACAGGTGTAAGCCACTGTGCCCGGCCAATTATAAATATTTTTTAAGGCTAAACTCTGGAATTTTGCTAGTTAGCCTTAAAAGCACAAAGCAGGCCTATAAAGTTCAATTTTACTGGTAGAAAGCAAGAAATGGATGAATAGGATGTTCGCTGACAACCATGCAATTGAAACCTCCTTTGCAAAAATTACGAGAGTGAGCAAACGATGGCAGTGAAGGAGATCGGATCTGGCCAGCCCCTACCTTGCCTTTGGCCCTCAAACTGCTTGTAGTTATTCCTGGGTTTAGGCTAATCTGACTTGTCTCTTTGGGAGACATTTATTTTATTTTCTTTTATATTTCCTTGAGACGGAGTCTCGCTCTGTAGCCCGGGCTGGAGTGCAGTGGTGAGATCTCGGTTCACCGCAACCTCTGCATCCTAGTTCAAGGGATTCTCCTGCCTCAGCCTCCAGAGTAGCTGGAATTACAGGTGCCTGCCACCATGCCCGATTAATTTTTGTATTTTTAGTAGAGACGAGGTTTCACCATGTTGGCCAGGCTGGTCTGAAACTCCTGACCTCAAGAGATCCGCCCGCCTTGGCCTCCCAAAGTGCTGGGATTAGAGGAAAGAAGGAAAGGAAGGAAAAGAAAGGAAAAGAGAGGAGAGGAGAGGGGAGGGGAGGGGAAGGGAGAGAAAGGAAAGGAAAGGGAGAGAAAGGGAAGAGAGAAAGAAAGAAGAAAAGAGAGAAAGAAAGAAAGAAAGAAAGAAAGAAAAATAAAGAAAGAAGAAAAAAGAAAAGAGAAAAGGAAGGAGGGAGGGAGGGAGGCAAGGAAGGAAGGAAGCAAGAAAGAGAGAAAGAGAGAAAAGAGGCTCCTTATAAATAACAAAAGACACCCTTCTCACCAAGGGTTTTTGGAAATTCCAGAGTGATGGGGTGAGAAGGGTGTCTTTGGAACCAAAGCTGAAGACCAAGTACATATTTCTTACTATATCACGGTATCACGGGAGGTAAAACGGAGGTGGCCTTGAAGCAGCTCCTCCCCAGCCCCCAATCCTCTTGTGTGCCCGGAGGATCAGAAGAGGTCCCGCCGAGACTCAGCTTAGCTGTGGTTCAAGCCTCTGATTGCGTGGATAAGTACCAGGTTTCCAGAGTGCCAGGGCGGGGCTGCCCCTTGCGGTGGCATTAACTTTCCATGGCTATTTAAAATCAGCAGAGGACACACGATCTTCAGATGGGTCCTGTTTTACTTCCATATTTTCTCCTAGAGAGAAGAAAAATCATTAAACTTTTTTTTGTTTGTTTTTTGTTTTTTTGTTTTATTCGTTGTTTTTTTTTTTTTTTTTTTTTTTTGAGACGGAGTCTCGCTCTGTGGCCCAGGCTGGAGTGCAATGGCGTGTATCAGCTCACTGCAACCTCTGCCTCCAGGGTTCAAGTGATTCTCCTGCCTCAGCCTCCCGAGTAGCTGGGATTACAGCTTTGTATTTTTAGTAGAGTCGGGGTTTCACTATATTGGCCAGGGTGGTCTCCAACTCCTGACCTCAGGTGATCTGCCTGCCTTGGCCTCCCAAAGTGCTGGGATTACAGGCGTGAACCACCGCACCTGGCCTACTGTATTTTTTTTTTTTTTTTTGAATAGAGAAGGGAGTCTCAAACTCTTGGCCTCAAGCCATCCTCCTGCCTCAGTTTCCCAAAATGCTGGGATTATGAGTGAGCCACTGCACCTATCCCACCCCCTCCCACCCTCATTTTTAGAAGGGCACAGGCTAGAGACCATATTTCCATCAGTCACTTTTGCGGCTAGACCTGTCCATGAGACTAAGTTCTAGCCAATGGGATGCGATAGGAAGATACATGCTCAAATTCTAGGTCCTGCTCTTAAAAAATAATTGTGTGGGCCGGGCGCAGTGGCTCACGCCTGTAATCCCAGTACTTTGGGAGGCTGAGGCAGGCGGATCACGAGGTCAGGAAATCGAGACCATCCTGGATAACACGGTGAAACCCCGTCTCTACTAAAAATACAAAAAAATTTAGCCGGGTGTGGTGGTGGACGCCTGTAGTCCCAGCTACTTGGGAGGCTGAGGCAGGAGAATGGCGTGAACCCGGGAGGCGGAGCTTGCAGTGAGCCGAGATCGCGCCACTGCACTCCAGCCTGGGCGACAGAGCAAGACTCCAACTCGGAAAAAAAAAAAAATAATAATTGTGTGAGCCCTTTTCTCTCTGTCCTCTCCTCTTTCTTGGGGCTCAGAACCAGAAATTAAAGCTACATGTTGATAAAAGCAAAACCATCCCACCTTAACAAGTAAATCGTTGAGATTGCCCAGTGATTTACTGTTAAGTGAGAGAGAGGTACATTTATATCTAGTTTTTTTCCGGTGGTGAAGGAGATTCTTTTTTTCTCTCTCTCTCTCTTTTTTATGAGATGGAGCTTGGCTCTTGTTGCCCAGGCTGGAGTGCAATGGCACGACCTCGGCTCAGTGAAACCTCCGCCTCCCGGGTTCAAGTGATTCTCCTGCCTCAGCCTCCCGAGTAGCTGGGATTACAGGCATGCACCACCACACCAGGCTAATTTTTTGTATTTAGTAGAGACAGGGTTTCACCATGTTAATCAGGCTGCTCTCGAACTCCTGACCTCAGGTGATCCACCTGCCTTGGCCTCCCAAAGTGCTAGGATTACAGGTGTGCGCCACTGCACCTGGCCGGGAGATTCTTTTTTACAACAGCTTAAAGTGCTCTGTAACCAATACACTATGCAGTGATTTGGTTAATACTTTGTGAGTTCCATGAGTGCAGGGTTTATGTCTGCTATTGCTCCCCACTGGACCGCCGGACTCTAGCACAATGCCATGCACGGTAGACATTGAATACATGAGTGATACGAGGATGAATGAGACTAGGGGAAATCAGTGGAAGCCCTAGGCCTGGCACAGTGACTCACTCCTGGAATCCCAGCACTTTGGGAGGCCAAGGAAGGAGGATGGCTTGAGGCCAGGCATTCAAGACCAGCCTGGACAACATGGTGAGATCCCATAGCTATAAAAAGTAAACAATTAGCCGGGCGCGGTGGCTCACGCCTGTAATTCCAGCACTTTGGGAGGCCGAGGGGGGTGGATCACGAGGTCAATAGATCGAGACCATCCTGGCCAACATGGTGAAACCCCATCTCTACTAAAAATACAAAAGTTAGCTGGGCATGGTGGTGGCACACGCCTGTAATCCCAGCGACTCGGGAGGGCGAGGCAGGAGAATCACTTGAACCCAAGAGGCGGAGGTTGCAGTGAGCCGAGATCGCGTCATTGCACTACAGCCTGGCAACAGAGCGAGACTCCATCTCAAAAAAAAAATAATAATAATAGTAATAATAAATTGGCCAGGCGTGGTGATGGCAGTGTTGTCATTGCTTTAAGAGGCAGGAACAGGGGGAAAAGACCCAGCAGTCTAACCACACAGACAAGTCCCAAGTTAGGCACTTCTGTGTGTCTTGGGGGCTGTTGATCAGAAATAACCTATGTGGATCACCCAGCAAAATGACCAGTATGAAAAGATGTTCAGTGGTAGAAAATGAAATAAGCATTGTGACTACAACTCACTCAATAAGCATTCATTGAACACTGGTCACTGGTAAACTGCTATGAAGAAATCTCAGCTGGGTGCGGTGGCTCACGCTTGTAATCCCAGCACTTTAAAGGGAGACCAAGGTGGGCAGATGGATCACTTTAGGTCAAGCGTTCGAGAACAGCCTGGCCAACATGGTGAAACCCCATCTCTACTAAAAACACAAAATTAGCCGGGCATGGTGGCAGGTGCCTGTAATCCCAGCTACTTGGGAGGCTGAGGCAGGAGAATCGTTTGAACCCGGGAGGTGGAGATTGTAGTGAGCTGAGATCACAACACTGCACTCCAACCTGGGAAACAGAGCAAGACTCCATCTCAAAAAGAAAAAAAATCTCAAGCTTATTGGATAGATAAATGCACAGGTAGATAGATGGATATTGAATGAATAAATAGTTCAGTGGATTAAAAACTGGTTAATGAAGAAATGGATGGGTAAATGGATGGAAATATGAATGAATGCATGATGGATAAGGACAAATGAAATAGACAAATGTACAAATGAAAGCAAAGGAAAAAGAGATGCTCAATAGAAATGAATAAGGATGAGAATCAATGCTAGACATGAATGAGTGAATGGTGAATGAAGGAGTGATTGAATGGATGAATACATGGAGTTAAGTTGAAGTACAAACTCGGCCAAGACTTCTTTTTCTCTGCTTTGGGTGGAAATACATTTTTAAAAAAAGAGGGCCGGGCACGGTGGCTCATGCCTGTAATCCCAGCACTTTGGGAGGCTGAGGCGGGCGGATCACCTGAGTTTGGGAGTTCGAGGCCAGCCTGACCAACACAGAGAAACCCTGTTTCTACTCAAAATACAAAATTAGCCAGGTGTGGTGGCTCACACCTGTAATCCCAGCTACTCGGGAGGCTGAGGCAGGAGAATCACTTGAACCTGGGAGGCGGAGGTTGTGGTGAGCCGAGATGGCGCCATTGCACTCCAGCCTGGGCAACAAGAGCGAAAGTCCACCTCAAAAAAAATAAAATAAAATAAAATAAAATAAAAAAAGAGGGAAAAAGGAAAAAAAAAGACTCCCTGATGTGCCACTGACTTCCTGTACATGTTTAGGTAAACTTAATATCACCTCTCTTTCCACCATTTTCCCATTTATAAAGTGGGAAGACTGGATTTGATGACATCACAGCCTCATCCAGGTCTGGTGCCTTCCTTATAACCTGCGTCTCTTCTTTATTCTTTTTTTTTTTTTTTTTTTTTTTGAGACGGAGTTTTGCTCTGTCACCCAGGCTGGAGTGTGCAGTGATGCAATCTCGGCTCACTACAACCTCCGCCTCCTGGGTTCAAGCAATTCTCCTGCCTCAGCCTCCCGAGTAGCTGGGATTACAGGCGCCCGCCACCACGCCCGGCTAATTTTTGTATTTTTAGTAGAGACGGGGTTTCACCATGTTGTCCAGGCTGGTCTCGAACTTCTGACTTCGTGATCCACCTGCCTCGGCCTCCCAAAGTGCTAGGATCACAGGTGTGAGCCAGCACCCCCGGCTTATTCCTTTTTTAAAATTGTTATTATTTCCCACAGCCACATATGCCGGGGAGGTTGTCCCACATATGTTCTACCAAGGCCCCTCTGGCACTGAGATCAAACCCCGGAAGACCCGCTCAGTCTCTCCTCCCGTCTTTTCAACACGTTAGCGCCCCCAGGTGGCTAATTAGACTTCAAAATTCAGTTCTTGAGGCGGGCGGATCACTTGAGGTCAGGAGTTCAAGACCAGTCTGGTCAACATGGTGAAACCCCGTCTCTACTAAAAATACAAACATTAGCCGGACATGGTGGTACGCACCTGTAATCCCAGCTATTCGGGAGGCCGAGGCAGGTGGATCACTTGAGGTCAGGAGTTCGAGACCACCTGGCCAATTTGGCAAAACTCCATCTCTACTAAAAATACAAAAATTAGCTGGGCGTGATAGCGCACACCTGTAATCCCAGCTACTCAGGAGACTGAGGCACGAGAATCACTTGAACCCGGGAGGCGGATGTTGCAGTGAACCGAGATCACGCCACTGCACTCCAGCCTGGGTGGAGTGAGATCTTCTCTCAAAAAAAAAAAAGAAAGAAAGAAAGAAAAAGTCGTGCTTGATTATGCTTGATGGCAAAAAGGTGAGACCTTCCTTTCGGCACTGAGTCTGGTAGAAATCGGTGTTACAGGGTAGCTAACATTTATTGAACACTTACTACGGGCCAGTTACTGCTTTAAATGTTTTATGTGTATTACCCACTGAATCCTACAACAATCCTATGAAGTGGGTTTTATCAGTGCATCCATTTTACCGTCAAGGCAAGAGAGAGTTGGGGAAGGGCGCTTTCTGAATGCTGCTACCGTGTCCAGAGTTGGTTCCTTCCTGTGGGTTTGTGGTCTCGCTGACTTTAAGAATGGAGCCAGGGACCTTCGTGGTGAGTGTTACAGCGCTTAAAGATGGCACGGACCTAAAGAGTTAGCAGCAGCAAGATTTATTGTGTAGAGCAAGAGAACAAAGCTCCCACAGCGTGGAAGCAGACTCTGGTGGGGTGCCGCGCTCGCCAGCTTTTATTCCCTTATTGTCCCCGCCCATGTCCTGCTGATTGGTCCATTTTACAGAGCGCTGATTGGTCCATCTTACAGAGTGCTGATTGGTCCATTTTACAATCCTCTTGTAAGACAGAAAAGTTCTCCAGGTCCCCATTCAACCCAGGAAGTCCAGCTGGCTTCACGTCTCACTACTACCTTTCTGTAGCTGCTACTACTACAGTGAGTAGACGGCAGTGCTGGGATTCGAACCCTCTGTCTTCTGGCTTGGAAGTCTTAACCACTAATCGCGTCTTCCTTTCAGCTACTCCTTGGGAAAGGCCTGGAAAGAAGCTACAGCACAGGGCACAGCGGGGTCTAAGGACCGTTCCGCGGAGCTCAGCCAGCAGGACTGTGGGGCTGCAGGAAAGGACAGTCCAGCCCAGGGTCCCAGCTTCTCCGCCACTCAGGTTGGAAGTCTCGGGCTGCAGTGCTCCTGGGGCTCAGGGGCGGATACCAGCAGGAGCGCGGTTCTGACTGCGCCAGTCAAAAGTGACCAGCGCGCCCAGGGAGATGAGGACCAGCCCGGCCAGCCCCAGGCGGACTAGGTTCCCCCGGGTGTAGTCGGAGGAGCCAGAGTCTGCGGGCGGAGCCGGGAGAGAGGGGCCATCAGCTCCCGGACCCCAAAGTCTGGGCCCTGAACTCCAGGTTTCCAGCCCCTGGGGTGGACTTAGGGACCTGACTCTACAGTCTCAAAGTTGAGGGGGAGTCGATGGAGGCTTCAACTCCTGGGTCCAGGAAGAAGGGGCTGGGGCCTGGACTGCTGGATCAGGAAGGAGGGGCTGGGGGCCTGGAGTCCTGGGTCCAGGAAGGAGGGGCTGGGGGCCTGGAGTCCTGGGTCTGAGGGAGGAGGTACTGGGGCCCGGGAATCCTGGGTCTGAGGGAGGAGGAGCTGGAGGACTAGACTCCTGGATCTGAGGGAGGAGGGGCTGGGTCCCAGGAATCCTGGGTCTGAGGGAGGAGGGGCTGCAGGACTAGACCCCTGGGTCTGAAGGAGGAGAGGCTGGGGGCCTGGGCTCCTGGGTCTGAGGGCGGAGGTCCTGGGGCCTGCATTCCTGGGGCGGAGGAGGCGGGCCGGGCCTCAGGGCCCTCACCTTCCCAGCTGATGACCAGCACCTCGCTGCGCTGCGACAGCACGTAGGGCGCGGAGGGCGTGTGATAGTAGCAGCTGTAGGTGCCGGGGGCGCGGGCGCCCAGCAGCGTGAAGTCGGCCCAGGGCTGCGCGGAGTGGCGGTACTGCAGCGGGGCCGCCACGCCCTCGCGGTACAGCACGAAGCTCATGTTCCGCAGGCGGCCCGCGCAGCGCAGGCTCACGTTGGCGCCAGGACCCACCACCGGCCCGGGCAGCGCCACCAGCGACGGCCGCGGCAGCTCCTCTGCAGAGACGGGGTGAGAGTCCGGGGCCGCGTGAGCGTCTTCCGCTCGCTCGCTCGCTCTGTTTCTCCTTCTCCTCTGTCTCTCGCTTTCTCTGTGCCTCTCTCTCTCTTTCTGCCTCTCTTTCTCTCTGCCTGTCTCTCTCTCTGTCTGCCTCTCTCTCTGCCTCCCTCTCTCTCTGCCTCCCTCTCTCTGCCTCCCTCTCTCTCTGCCTCCCTCTCTCTCTGCCTCCCTCTCTCTCTGCCTCCCTCTCTCTCTGCCTCCCTCTCTCTCTGCCTGCCTCTCTCTTTGCCTGCCTCTCTCTCTGCCTCCCTCTCTCTGCCTCCCTCTCTCTCTGCCTCCCTCTCTCTCTGCCTCCCTCTCTCTCTGCCTCCCTCTCTCTCTGCCTCCCTCTCTCTCTGCCTGCCTCTCTCTCTGCCTGCCTCTCTCTCTGCCTCCCTCTCTTTCTGCCTCCCTCTCTCTCTGCCTCCCTCTCTCTCTGCCTCCCTTTCTCCTTCTGCCTCTTTCTCTCTCTCTCCCCCCGCACTGTACCTCTCTCTCTCTCTGCTCCCCTGTCTCTCTCTCTCTGCTCCCCTGTCTCTCTCTCTCCCCCTAGTGTCTCTGTATCTGTCTTTTCTTGTGTCTGTGAATCTGTTTGCCCGCCTCGCTCTGTCTCTCTTTCCCTATATCTCTCTGTCCCTCCCCCAACTCCCTTGTTCCACCCACTTCTCCTCCCCGACCCCAGGACCTCACCTGTCACCAGCAGCTCCAGGACATCGCTGGGCTGGGACCAGACACCCGGCCCCCAGTCTGGCCTTCGGTAGCAGCAGCGGTAAATTCCCCCTTGGGCTGGAGTCACCTCCTCCAGAAAGAATTCTGCCAGCTCGGAGGACACATCCCGGAAGAGAAGGGGAGCGATCTCTCCAGGCTTGAAAAGTCCAAATCTCCAAGCGGGTTGGGGTGCCCGGCATCTCAAGGTCACGTTGACCCCAGGGGTCACAACTGTAGCCGGCTGAGCTCCCAGCCATGGCTTAGGGTGGTATGAAGCTGGGGGGACTGAATAAACGGGGCTGCCTGGGTCCTCGGGCCTCCTGGGAGCCCCAGAAGATGAAAGGGAAGTTGGGGAAGGAGGAAAATCACCTTGGACAATTACTGCCCCTTTCTTAGCCTCAGTTTCCTGTTTGTAAAATCAGGGAGAGACTGGACTACAATCAAGCCTTGTTAAAACCAGGTGCAAATCAGAGGGGCAGGACAGAAACTTCTGAGCTTTACTCCACAGTTTGTAAACACAGTTTCAAAAGGTCAGGTCCCAGAACTCTGTAATTTTATTATTATTATTATTTTTAAGTAATGAGATGGGAGGGGGCGGTCTCCCTATGTTGAGCAGGTTGGTCTTAAACTACTGGCCTCAAGCAATCCTCCCACCTCGGCCTCCCAAAGTGCTAAGTTTACAAGCTTGTGCCACCACACCCAGACTTTTTTTTTTTTTTTTTTTTTTTTTGAGGCAGGGTCTTGCTGTGTTGCTCAGGCAGGAGTGCAGTGGCATGTTCTCAACTCACTGCAGCCTCAATCTCTTGGGCTCAAACAGTCCTCCACCTCAGCCTCCTGAGTACCTGGGACCACAGGCACATGCCACTACACCAGGCTAATTTTTTTTTTTTAATTTTTAGTAGAGACGAGCATTCGCTATATTGCCCAGGCTACTCTTGAACTCTTGGGCTCGAGCAATCCTCCCACCTCGGCCTCCCAAAGTGCTGGGATTACAGGTGTGAGCCACCACGCCCAGCCAGAACTCTAATTTTAAATAGCTTTCCAGAATATTTGCAATATAGTATTTCAAGAGTTGCCAAAACTTGCTATTTGGAAAAGAAAAATGTTGGATCCCTACCTCATACCATTTCCCAAAACAACTTCCAGATTAATTAAAGACCCTGTGTTTCTTTTTTTTTAAACTATAAAAGTATTCAAAAAACTATAGGAAAATATATTTGTCTTGGGGTAAGGAAGGCTTCTTAAAATATAAAATAAAAAGTTGTATGGAAGATTAATTAATTTGACCACTTCAAATTTCTTAAGTTGTGTATGCTAAAAGACAAAACTGGAGGACAAATGATAGTACTGGCAGATATCACTTATTCACAAATCACACAAATTAAGAGTACAGGAAGGCTGTTGGGTCCGGTGGCTCACAGCTGTAATCCCAGCACTTTGGGAGGCCAAGGTGGGTGCATCACCTGAGGTCAGGAGTTCAAGACCAGCCTGACCAACATGGTAAAATCCCATCTCTACTAAAAACAGAAAAATTAGCCAGGCGTGGTAGTGCTAGCTTGTAGTTCCAGCTGTTTGGGATGCTGAGTAGGAGAATTACTTGAACCCTAGAGTCGGAGGCTGCAGTTAGCTGAGATCATGCCACTGCACTCCAGCCTGGGCAACAGAGTGAGAACTCCATGGTGGCATGCACTTTGGGAGGCTGAGGCTGGAGGATTGTCTGAGCCCAGGAATTCAAAGCTGCAGTGAGCTATGATAGAGCCACCGTACTCCAGCCCGGGTGACACAATGAGACCCCATCTCTAAAAATGAATAAAAATAAGGGTCGGGTGAGGGGGCTCATGTTTGTAATCCCAACACTTTGGGAGGCTGAGGCAGAGGGATCACCTGAGGTCAGGAGTTCCAGACCAGCCTGACCAACATGGGGAAACCCTGTCTCTACTAAAAATACAAAAATTATCCGGGCATTGTGGTGTGTGCCTGTAGTCCCAGCTACTCAGGAGGCTGAGGCAGGAGAATCCCTTGAACCCAGGAGGTGGTTGCAGTGAGCCGAGATTGCACCACTGCACTCCGGCCTGGGCGACAGAGAGAAACTGGTCTCAAAATAAATAAATAAATAAATAAAATAAATAGGTAGAGATAGCTATAGCGACACTGAAATATCTCCAAAAGAGTTTTTGTTTGTTTGTTTGTTTGTTTGTTTTTGAAGTGGAGTCTTGCACTGTCACCCAGGCTGGAGTGCAGTGGCGCGATCTCAGCTTACTGCAACCTCTGCCTCCTGGGTTCAAGCGATTCTCTTGCCTCAGCCTCCTGAGTAGCTGGGATTACAGGTGCGTCCCACCACACCCGGCTAATTTTTTTTTTTTTTTTTTTTTTTTTTTAGTAGAGACGGGGTTTCACCACATTAGCCAGGATGATCTCGATCTGACCTTGTGATCCGCCCGCCTCTGCCTCCCAAAGTGCTGGGATTACAGACGTTGGCCATTGCGCCCAGCCCAAGATCCTATTTCTTAAGCCCTGTACTGTGCCAGGCTCAGGGTTTTGCACATGTGATTTGATGAGATCTCACAGCGGCCCATTTTACAGAGAAGGAAATGGAGTCTTAGCAAGCTGTGACTTGTTCTAGGTCATATGGTCACATATAAATGAATACGATGGTGAAACTGAGGTCCTAGCTTAGGCCTCTGCCTCAGAAGTTCCTGGTCTTCAGTACTCACCTATAATGGCCACTAAGGGGAATGAGAAAAGAAGGAAGGAATGGAGGGAGGGAGGAAAATAAGGATATCTGGGATGGGATTGGGCACCAAAATAAAATCTGAGTAATTGGAAAAGGGGTGTCAGCAACAAAAGGAGAGTGGATGGGGTGGCTACTCACCAGACGGAGTGATGTCTGTGTGACACAGAGGCCCTGTAGGAGGTTGAGGGACTAGTTTCTTTTTCCTTTTTTTTTTTTTGTCTGAGGCAGACTCTCACTCTGTCGCCCAGGCTGGAGTGTAGTGGTGTGATCTCAGCTCACTGCAACCTCTGCCTCCCAGGTTCAAGTGATTCTCCTGCCTCAGCCTCCGTAGTAGCTGGGACTACAAGTGCCCGCCACCACACCAGGCTAATCTTTGTATTTTTAGTAGAGAGGGGTTTCGCCATGTTGGTCAGGCTGGTCTTGAACTCCTGTCCTCAGGTGATCCACCCGCCTCGGCCTCCCAAAGTGCTGGGCCTCGGCTCCCACAGGCATGAGCCGCTGCGCCCAACAGCGAGTTCTTTTCAAAACCCTTTGTGGCCAGCCCCATCTCATTGGTAACCCAGGAATCTGAGTTCCCAGCTCCTATCTCCTCTGGGAAATGAGAATCTTATCCCTCCCTCCTCCTGTCTCAGTAGGCAGAAATTTGGACATCCATTGCCCACCTACCGAAGAAGTCTGAACGCAGACCCCTCTGGCCTGGGCAACCAAGAGTTCAGGCCCTTGAACTCCACCTTTCCAGGGAACAATGATCGTAGAGTTTCTCCTCTCACGAGTTCAGGAATCTGGGTCCCCATTTCCCTCTTCTCTCAGGAGCTAAGAGCCCTGTTCCCAGCCCCCTTTTCCCAGGGAATCAGGAGTCCTGGCTTCCATCCCCCTCCCATATAAGAATCTGGGAGTCCTCCCTGTCTCCTGACCTCTTCCTGCCTCAAGAACCAGAGATACCTGTCCCCACCTCCTTCCTCTTTCGGGAATCTGTGTTCTCTTGCTTTAGGACCCAGGGGTCTGGGCCCCAGCCCTGTTCTTTATTTGAACCTAGAATCCCAAACCTGCTGCCTGGTCCCCCTGCAGGGTGTCTGGGTCTCCATTGCCTCTCTCTCTGCCCCCAACCCCAGCCAGGAACCCAGGGAGAAGAAAGGGGTGACTCACAGAGGGTCAGCAGCTGGAGGATCAGCACCAGGGCCATGGTGGGCAGATACCCGCTAGAGCTGGAGCCAGGGCTTGGTCGCACCCTCTCCCCTCCCAGGAAATGAGGCAACATCAGAAAACCAGACCCAGATCCTCATTTACGGAAGAGAGTATCGAGGTGGGGGCCTGTGGGTGACTGTGTCATAGCCCTATGGCACTGTGGAAAAATTAGCAGGGGGTTCAGTCATAACCTGTGGTGTTCATTTATTTAACTCTAGAAACAAATACTAGTCAGGAGGTGGAGGCAGGAGGATCGCTTGAGCCCAAGAGTTCAAGAGCAGCCTGGGCAACAGAGCGAGACCCTGTCTAAAAAATAAATAAATTGTGCCACTGCACTCCAGCCTGGGTGATAGAGTGAGACCATGTCTTTAAATATAGATAGACAGATAGAAAGATATCTGTCTGTTTTAAAAATAAGAACCTATTATGTGCCAGACTCTTGCTGTCATTGATTGACAGATAGATAAAAATTTGCACCTATTATGTGCCAGGCCCTTGCTGTGATTGAAAGATAGATAGATGGATGGATGGATAGATAGATAGATAGATAGATAGATAGATAAAAATTAGCACCTGTTAAGTGCCAGGCCCTTGCTGTGATTGATTGATGGATAGATAAAAATTAACACCAATTATGTGCCAGGCCCTTGCTGTGATTAATTGATCGATTGATAGATTGGTTGACAGAGAAAAATTAGCACCTATTATGTGCCAGGCTCTTGGTGTGATACTGTGTTAGATAGATAGATAGATAGATAGATAGATAGATAGATAGATAAAAATTAGCCCCTCTAGGCCGGGCGCGGTTGTTCACGCCTGTAATCCCAGCACTTTGGGAGGCCAAGGCGGGTGGATCACCTGAGATCGGGAAGTTCGAGACCAGCCTGACCAACATGGAGAAACCCCCGTCTCTCCTAAAAAAGAAAAATTAGCCGGCTGTGGAGGCGCGCGCCTGTAATCCCAGCTATTCAGGAGGCTGAGGCAGGAGAATCGCTTGAACTCGGGAGTCGGAGGTTGCTGTGAGCCGAGATCGCGCCATTGCACTCCAGCCTGGGCGACAGAGCTAGACTCAATCTCAGAAGAAAAAAAAAAAAATTAGAACCTATTACGTGCCAGACCCTCGCTGTGCCATGTTGGCAGGCACAGAGGGAACTCAGACTCCGTTACTGCTCTCAAGCAGCAGCTACCAGTCCGACTGAAAGACCAAGACCAGGTCAGTTTCCTTTTTTTTTGAGACGGAGTCTCGCTCTGTCGCCCAGGCTGGAGTGCAGTGGTGTGATCTCGGCTCACTGCAAGCTCCGCCTCCCGGGTTCACGCCATTCTCCTGCCTTAGCCTCCCCAGTAGCTGGGACTACGGGCGCCCACCACCACGCCCGGCTAATTTGTGTTGTATTTTTAAGTAGAGACAGGGTTTCACCATGTTAGCCAGGATGGTCTAGATCTCCTGACCTCGTGATCCGCCCGCCTCGGCCTCCCAAAGTGCTGGGATTACAGGCGTGAGCCACCGCGCCCGGCCCAGACCAGGTCAGTTTCTTAAGTGATCTGAGCTATAATGGCGGTAACAGAGCACTGTGAGAGCCCGCAGAAAGCTCCTAACCCATCTGGGATGAGACCTAGCGCTTCCAGGACGAGCCGATGTTGAGCTGAGACCTCGAAGGACAGGTTAGTCATTCACCTTCTCCCGGGCTCAGTTTCTTCGTCTGTAAAATGGGCTTTCATACATAAACTATAAAATGGGGACTATTTTGTTCCGCCTTAGGTGGGTCGCAGCAGGAGGACTAGTCACTCCGGAGCGACTTCTAGGCTGAGACTAAGGAGATTCCACGCAGGTCCGCAAAGTCAGGCTTGCGCTTGCTCCTGACACCACTTCCTTTACCTCCACGGCTCCATCTTTGTTCTGCGCGAGTGCGCACGCGCAGGCTCCGAAAGCGGGCCGTCGCACAGAGGGACCACAACTCCCAGAGTGCTCCGCGTCCTTGCTTTCGCCTCTACTTGTGCTCCAGGGCGCACGCGCAGCCCTGGGAGCGGGTTCTCGCGCATAGGGACCACAACTCCCAGGGTGCTCCGCGTCCTCGCCGCTGTCGCCGCCGCGGAGACAAAGATGGCTGCGAGTAAGTGCAGGTTCCGGTGGCGCACGGGGCTCGGGTAGTTCTGGGAACCTCTGGGCGGTCCTGGGACTGAGGTGCGGCAGGGCAGGGGTGGAAGCGATGGGGTCCGTGCTGGAGGGGAACGCAGAAGTCACGAGGGGGCTCCTCCAGGGCAGGGGTGGCACGAGAGGGTTAGAGGTCACCGGGGGCAGCTACTTGCAGGGGTGACGCTTCTTGCCACCCCTTCAGGAGTCGGCGCCTTCCTCAAGAATGCCTGGGACAAGGAGCCAGTGCTGGTCGTGTCCTTCGTCGTCGGGGGCCTCGGTGCGTGAGTGCTCCAGGCGCAAACTTGCATCGTCCACCCCCGTCCCCCTACATCCCTCCATCTTGTACCCCTAAAGCCCTATCGCCGCCCTCGGGTCCCCTCTAGTGTGTCTGCACCCCCACGGCATCCCCTTATCTATCCCCATACCCATTATAACCTCTCCACCATCGCCCCCCGCGTTCCTCTCCACCTACCCAATACGCTCTTAACCCCTCTAAATGAGACGTTCTCAACCCTGCTTATGCCTTAACACCTGAGCACCAAAAAAAAGTCCAGATCCTCCTCCTCCTTTTCATCTTTCCTCTCCCCCATTCTGAATTGAGTTGGCTTGGGTGGAGGTGGGACTGGGGAATCTGTGTCTTGTGAAAATCCCCGTATGATCCCAATGTGCCTTGCTGATTGAAAATCTCTGCCCTCTGCCCTGGAACTGCCCTACTCACACTTTAATTAGCACCGGAGTTCCTGCAGGGATGGGGGCGGGGGATTGTTAAAATGTAGCTTTTTTTTTTGCGATGGAGTCTCACTCTCACCCAGGCTGAAGTGCAGTGGCGCGATCCCGGCTCACTGCAACCTCGGCCTCCTGGGTTCAAGGGATTCTCCTGCCTCAGCCTCCCGAGTAGCTGGGATTACAGGCGCCCAGCTAATTTTTTGTTTTTGTTTTTGAGACTGAGTCTCGCTCTGTCGCCCAGGCTGGAGTGCAGTGGCGCGATCTCGGTTCAGTGCAAGCCCCGCCTTCCGGGTTCACGCCATTCTCCTGCCTCAGCCTCCCGAGTAGCTGGGACTACAGGCGCCCGCCCCCATGCCCGGCTAATTTTTTGTATGTTCAATAGAGACGGGGTTTCACCGTGTTAGCCAGGATGGTCTCGATCTCCTAACCTCGTGATCCTCCCAACTCGGTCTCCCAAAGTGCTGGGATTACAGGCGTGAGCCACCGCGCCCGGCCAGCTTTTTTTTTTTTTTTTTTTTGAGATGGCGTCTCGCTCTGTCTTCCAGGCTACAGTGCAATGGTTTGATCATGGCTCACTGCAACCTCCGCCTCTAGGGTTCAAGTGATTCTCCTGCCTCCGCCTCCCAAGTAGCTGGGATTACAGGCGAGCACCACCACGCCCGGCTAATTTTTGTATTTTTAGTAGAGACAAGGTTTCACCATGTTGGCCAGGCTGGTCTTGAACTCCTGACCGCAAGTGATCTGCCTTCCCAAAGTGCTGGGATTACAGGGGTGAGCCACTGCGCCCGGCCAAACTGTAGGTTCTGATTCTGTAGGTCTGGGGTGGGGCATGGGATTCTGCATTTTTGAAGAGTTCCCAGGTCTTGTCAGTACTGCTGGTCCACCAGCCAGGCACTAGGTTAAGGTTCTGAACACTTATTCAGTATGGCAGCCACCAGCCACAACTGGCCACTGAGCATTTGAAGTGGTGCTGGTATGAATTGAGGTGGTATAAGACACTGGATTTCAAAAACTTAGTATAACAGAGTGTGTAAACTACCAATAATCTTTTGTTGATTACATGGCGAAGTGATGTTTTGGATGTACTATGGTTTTTTTTGTTTGTTTGTTTTTGTTTTTTTGAGACGGAGTTTCGCTTTTGTCCAGGCTAGAGTGCAATGGCCTGATCTCGGCTCACTGCAACCTCCGCCTCCCGGGTTCAAGCGATTCTCCTGTCTCAGCCTCCTTAGTAGCTGGGATTACAGGCGCATGCCACTACACCTGGCTGTTTTTGTATTTTCAGTAGAGACGGGGTTTCATCATATTGGTCAGGCTGGTCTCGAACTCCTGACCTCAGGTGATCCACCCGTCTCAGCCTCCTAAAGTCCTGGGATTATAGGCATGAGCCACCTCGCCCATCCAAGTATGTTTCTTAAAATTTGTTTCATCTGTATCTCTTATTTTTACTGTAGCTACTAGAAGATATAAAATTATATACCTGGCTCTTACCATCTGTCAGACAGCACTGGCCTAGAACATTCCTTTTATGAACTGTACCCCATCCCCCAGGACTCCTGGCTCCCACCCTAAATGGACTGTGGTCAGTGACTGTTGTTTGTGCAACCCTTTCTCCTCCAGTTTGTAAGGCTTTTTTTTTTTTTTTTTTTTGGTGATGGAGTCTCTCTCTGTTGCCCAGGCTGGAGTGCAATGGCACAATCTGGGCTCACTGCAACCTCTGCCTCCCAGGCTCAAGGGATTCTTCTGCCTCAGCCTCCTGAGTAGCTGGGATTACAGGCTCCTGCCACCACGCCCGGCTAATTTTCGTATCTTTAGTAGAGATGGGGTTTCATCATGTTGTCCAGGCTGGTCGCGAACTCCTGACCTCAGGTGATCCGCCCACATTGGCCGCCCAAAGTGCTGGGATTACAGGCTTGAGCCACTGTGCCCGGCCAAATTTGTAACAGTCTTGATTTCTCCAGAACAGTCCCATGACACTACCCCCAGGATGCTCCATGATGACCCTACACTCAAACGTGCTCATTCCATGACCAACCCCACTGCTGCCTCCTCCAGGCCCCACGTATCTGTGAGTGTTAGGCTCCAACCCCTACCTCCACTTAACCCCCCAAAAAAGAGTTTTAAACCCTCCTGTCTATAAGTAGGGATCCCAAGGTACCAAGGATCCTCCTGGACGTGCTGGCCCTCCCTGCTGCCCTCCCCCTGCGCACTTTATCTTCCCTTTGCCAAGGCTCACCTTCTCTTCCCCTCTCTTCAGAGCCACCTTCCCCTGGGCCTCACCCCTGTGTCTCTCCACAGCTGTAATTCTGCCCCCATTGAGCCCCTACTTCAAGTACTCCGTCATGATCAACAAGGCCACGCCCTACAACTACCCAGGTGAGTGGGGGCCAGGCAGGGATCCCCGGAATAGGCCCAGCCTCCCTGTGCTGGCGTAAGGGCAGTTATGGGCAGGTCTTTCCTAAGCAGTTATCAGAGATTCTGCAGTGGTGCCCGGACCCCCCGTTCCATTTTTTAAGAATTGAGATATAATTCGTATACTATTCTGTGTTTGTGCTTCGTTTTTGTTTTTTTGGGTTTTTTTGAGACAGAGTCTCGCTCTGTCGCCAAGGCTGGAGTGCAGTGGCGCGATCTCAGCTCACTGCAAGCTCAGCCTCCCGAGTAGCTGGGACTACAGGTGCCCGCCACCACGACACGCAAACTTTTTCGTATTTTTTTAGTAGAGGCGGGGTTTCACCGTGTTAGCCAGGATTGTCTCGATCTCCTGACCTTGTGATCCACTCACCTCGGCCTCCCAAAGTGCTGGGATTACAGGTGTGAGCCACCGCGCCTGGCCTGTGCTTCGAGTTTCTATTACCTTTCCAGATTTCTGTCTCTCTCTGGGTTCCCATCTGTGGTGGTTTCTTGGTCTCCATCTTCTCAGGTTTCTGTCCTGTTTCCCCATCTCTTTTGACCCTAGCTCTCTAGTGCGCGGGATCTCTCCCTCGCTATCTCTCTGGTTTTCCGTGTCTCTCAGTCTCTGTATTTCCCGCCTCTTTCTGCATCACTGATTCTCTGACCCTTCCCCTCTCACCCCTGGGGTCCCCCTTCCCTCTCTGAACATAAAGCGACAGACCAGCTCTTCTCTCCAGGGCCCTGGAGACGTGCTGGTCTCAGTGGCCCACCTCCTGCCCCACAGTGCCCGTCCGTGATGATGGGAACATGCCCGACGTGCCCAGCCACCCCCAGGACCCTCAGGGCCCCAGCCTGGAGTGGCTGAAGAAACTGTGAGCACCTCCACTGACAGAGGCGGCCCCTCCCACGGCTCCCAATAAAAATGTGAAAACCAACCCCCGAACGTGAGCATGTGTGTGATCAGAGGTGGGAACAAGTAGACGGTGGCCGGGGTGAGTGTGGGGTCAGTTTATTGGGCATGCGTCAGTCAGAGGCTGGGCTGGCCAGGGTCGGGTAGGGCAGCAGTTTGTCTGGACCCCGAGAAACCCAACTGGAATCCAGGGCCTCATCTGCTTCAAAGCCAAAGTCTTCCTCAACCTTAATCTGCAGGAGATAAGGAACAAGGTGTTAACAGGCCTGGGAATCTAGAAAATCCCATCAGCTTCACCATTTTTGTTTTCATTTTGTTTTGCTTTTTAAAGAGACAGGGTCTCACTCTGTTGCCCAGGCTGGAGTGCAGTGGTGCCATCATAGTTCACTGCAGCCTCTGCCTCCCAGGCTCAAGTGATCCTCCCACCTCAGCTTCCCAAGTAGCTGGGACTACAGGCACTTGCCAACCAAGCCTAACATGTTTTTTCTTTTTGGTAGAGATGGGGTCTCAGTATGTTGCTCAGGCAGGTCTCAGACTCCTGGCCTCAAGTGATCCTCCCACCTAGGCCTCCCAAAGTGCCGGGATTACAGGCATGAGCCACTGCACCTGGCCAGCCTCACAGTTCTTGTCTGCCCAGGCCAGTCACCTTCCTCCTTACACCTCAGAGGCAATCCCAGTGTTCCTGGGTCCAGATGTTCTTCCAGCTTTCCTCCCCACACTGGGCCTTCCCTTCCACTCCGTCTTCTCTGATCCTTCCTTCTCCTCTACTCCCAGCCTTCTCTAGCTATTTTTCCTTCTCCAGGTCTTCCTCTTTCCCTTTCCAACTTTGCCTCCTTTTTACCCAAGCCTTTACCCCACTTTTTCCAACTACTTCCCTGCCTGATCCTAGGCCTCCAACATGTCCTGGTTCACCTCCCTTCTCCAACTTTCCCCAGCCCTGGGCCCCTCGGGGTGCAGAACCAAAACCCAAGAGCCCTGAACCTAACTCAGCCCCAGCCCTGGCCCCTCCCCTTGAGTCCCCCCTCCTTACCTGCACTGGCGCCGGCTCTGGAGCCCCAGTCCCTCCCCTTGAGTTCCCGCCTTCCTCACCTGCACCGGGGCCAGCTCTGGAGTCAGCGCATTTCCTGCTCGGCGTCCATCCCGTGGCACTCGCCGCCTCTTCCGCCCACTGGGCCCCTCACCGGGGGCTGGGCTGCCGGGTTCTGGGGGTGCAGGAGTCCTTCTGGGCGGGGACAGTGTCTCTTTCTCTGGAGGCTCATTCTCCGCATTGCCTGGGGTGGGGGCATCCGTGCCCTGGCTGCCCTCATCCTGGCAGGCAGGAGGGGGAGGTAGGTGATGGGTGGGTCCTGAGCTCCCAGTTCCTGACCCTCCTGGAGGCCCAACACTCACCTCCAGCACAATGGTGAACTGGCTGGCCCGGTAGTCATCCCCGTAGGAGTCCAGCACTCTCATGAGGAACCTGCTCAGGGGGAGAAGCCACCAACGGAATAACTTATCTCCTAGCGGCTGGGGAAAAGGGCCACAGGATAGAGCTCAGCTCCCACTCCACTCAACGCCAAAGCTGTCCTGGAGCCAGACGGTCCTGAGCTCTGGCACTGGAGGCCTGGGAGCCATGCCCTTGACCAGCCTTGAGACCTCGAGCAAGACAAGGCAACCATTCTGAGGCTGAGTTTCCTGCTCTGCAAACGACATGACACCCTCGGCTGGATGTTGCAGCGGTGACACTGAAGTAGTGACACCAGACGATTTCTGTACTTAATGTGATGTCAGCACTTAGTAAACATTCATATGTGAGTTATAATTTTTATTGATAACTGAAGAGAGGGGAGTACAGAACGCTCCTCCTAATGACCTCACCTCTTATAAACACCCCCTTCTCTTTTTTCCCCAGCCCCTGCCTCCAGAGTTCCTTAAGGTTCAATTGATGGAATGCCTCCTCTGCACCAGCACCTGGGCAGGTTTGTTGTTGTTGTTTTGCGACGGAATCTCACTCTGTCACCCAGGCTGGAGTGCAGTGGCGTGAATTTGGCTCACCACAACCTCCACCTCCCTGGTACCAGCGATTCTCCTGCCTCAGCCTCCCGAGTAGCTGGGACTACAGGCGCCTGCCACTACACCCGGCTAATTTTTTTGTATTTTTAGTAGAGACGGAGTTTCACCGTGTTAGCCAGGATGGTCCCGATCTCCTGACCTCGTGATCCGCCTGCCTCGGCCTCCCAAAGTGCTGGGATTACAGGCATGATGAGCCACTGCGCCCGGCCTATTTCAACTTAAGTGAAAATCTCACCTGTGGCCAGCGGCTACCGTGCTGGACAGCACAGGTACGGACAGAGGAACCCTGGGAGCCGCAGGTTTCAGCTTTGGGGAGGGAGGATGAACTAGCAAAGGCAGCCAAGAAGGAACAGCCGGAAAGGCAGGAGACCCCAGGTTGCTGGGTGCCCAGGATGGCAAGAATGGGCTCCAGGGAAGAGCACATAGCCCTGGGCCACTGTGCCGAGCCTGAGCCAAGGACTGAGATGAGAACTGTGGTTGACTCAGCAACGTGGAGCCATTCCTACAAAACTTGCTCCAGTTTTGCTGGTACAGGGACACTGCGAGTGGCAGGGGCAGCAGCCACCTGGGCAGGTTCTGTGGAGACACACAGTGGGAAGCTCTGAGCTCAGCTCACCACCTGCAAGCTCCGACAACCCTGCCGCAGCCTCATGATATTGGTGCTGCCCTTAGTTGATAGGAAACAGCTCAGAGAAGGGACACTGCTTGCTTAGAGTCACACAGCAAAAAAAAAAGAAAATACTTGCAGTCAGGTCTGTGCTCGTGTGCCTTCCATCCTGCTGTTCCCTCCCTTCAGGGGGAGGAGGCCCTCCACCCGGCCCTCCCTCAGTCCCAGTGCTCAGCCCTCTCCACCCGGCCCTCCCTCAGTCCCAGCGCACAGCCCCTTCCACCCGGCCCTCCCTCAGTCCCAGTGCTCAGCCCTCTCCACCCGGCCCTCCCTCAGTCCCAGTGCTCAGCCCTCTCCTCCAACACCGAATCCCACTCTTCCTCCTTGTTTGCCTCAGCCCCCGGCCCTCATCTCCGGCTTCTCCTTGTGGCTTGTGAGGGTTGGGTGGATGTGGAAGTGGGAGAGACAGAGGGGCTGGGAGCATTTGGGAGCTGAGGCTCACAGGCCCAGAGGGGACGGAGAAGGGGTTACCTCCGTTCCTGCTGCAGCCTCCGAGTTATCCTCTGCACCTGATGGAGCCTGTTCAGGACCCGCTCGTTCACCTATGGGGTGGGAAACGCCCATCAGCTGGATCCCACGGCTCCCGTTCATTTGTTTAACGGATGTTTAATGGGGCACGCACTAAACTCTGGAGACTGGCCAAAGACCATCCCGTGGCCTGAGGTCCTTCCACCTTCCCATCCCTCCGGCTCCCCTCTCACCATGCCACAGTCCTGAGTGCCCTCCAGTGGGGGCCTTCCGCGTGCTGTTCCTCTACCTGGACCCTCTCCCCAGTCATCCGCACAACTTACTCCCCACTCCAAGTCTTAGGTCAACTGTTACCTGCTCAGAGAGCCTGAACCTCCCATTAAGTCGAAACACACCAGGCCAGGTGCGGTGGCTCACGCCTGTAATCCCAGCACTTTGGGAGGCCGAGGCGAGTAGGTCCCCTGAGGTCAGGAGTTCGAGACCAGCCTGGCCAACATGATGAAACCCCATCTCTACTAAAAATACAAAAAATTAGCTGGGCGTGGTGGCAGGTGCCTGCAGGATAGTCGCACGAACCTGGGAGGTGGAGGGGTGAAGTGAGTTGAGATCACCCCACTGCACTCCAGCCTGGGCAACAGAGCGAGGTTCTGTTTCAAAAAAAAAAATTGCAACACACCCGACCCCCCTTCCCATGCCAGAACCCCACCCGGCCATTCACTCCTGGCTTTATTTCCTCCTAGTGCTCATCTGAGGAGGCAGGACGCAGCCTCTCCGCCTCTTTGCTTATTCTGCTGACTGACCGCCTCTCCAGCCAGAGCATGAGCTGAAAAACGACAGCAACTTGTTTCTACATCCCGTGCCTTAACCAGAGCCTGGCACGTAGTACATCCTCCATGAACATTTGCAGAATCAATGACTTTGCAAAGTGAGAAGTGCTTGGTGAATACCAAAGAGTCAGACATGCTGGAGGTTAGGGCAGGAGGTGCGACTTTAGTTACGACCTGCAGAGAAGGCCCGTGGGCCCAGACTTGAATAAGGAGGAGACAAAGGGGTGACAGGAGGAAAGTATGCCAGGCTGAGGGGACAGCCCTGCACGCAGCTTCTGAGGACTCCAGCCTAGACATGGAGGGAGAGATGTGACTCAGCCAAACAGGGACCCAAAGACAGTGGCTGAAGCAGGTGCTGCTCCTGGGTCAGAAAGACCTGAGTTCCGGGCGGGGCACAGTGGCTCACGCCTGTAATCCCAGCACTTTGGGAGGCCGGGGCGGGCAGATCACTTGAGGTCAGGAGTTCAAGACCAGCCTGGCCAACATGGTGAAACCCCGTCTCTACTAAAGATACAAAAATTGGCCGGATGTTGTGGCACATGCCTGTAATCTCAGCTACTCAAGAGTTTGAGGTCGGGAGTTCCAGACCAGCCCGGCCAACATGATGAGACCTCATCTCTACTAAAAAAAAAAAAAAAAAAAGAAAAATACAAAAATTAGCTGGGTATGGTGGCGCATGCCTGTAATCCCAGTTTCTCAGGAGGCTGAGGCAGGAGAATCGCTTGAACCCAGGAGCTGGAGGTTGCAGTGAGCCGAGATCACACCACTGCCCTCCAGCCTGGGTGACAGAGTAAGACTCTGTCTCAAAAGAAAAAAAAAAAAAAAAGTGCCAGGCACGGTGGCTCACGCTTGTAATCCCAGCACTTTCAGAGGCCAAGGCGAGCGGATCACCTGAGGTCAGGAGTTTGAGACCAGCCTAACGTGGTGAAACCCTGTCTCTACTAAAAATACAAAATTAGCCAGGTGTAGTGGCGCATGCCTGTAATCCCAGCTACTCGGGAGGCTGAGGCAGGAGAATCGCTTGAACCCAGGAGGCGGAGGTTGCAGTGAGCTGAGATTGCAGCATTGCACTCCAGCCTGGACAACAAGAGCGAAAATCCATCTAAAAAAAAAGAGTTCAAGTTTTGGCTCTGGCTTGGCACAGTGGCTCATGCCTATAATCCCAGCACTTTGAGAGGCCAGGAGTTCGACACCAGCCTGGGCAACAGAGTGAGACCCCAACACTCAAAAACTAACCAAAAAAATTAGCTGGGCTTGGTGGCTGTAGTCCCAGCTCCTTCGGAGGCTGAGATTGCTAGAGTCCAGGATGTTGGGGCTGCAGTGAGCCACAGTCATGCCACTGCACTCCAGCCTGGGCAACAGAGAAAGACCCTGTCTCAAAAAAAAAAAAAAATCTCAGATCTGCCACTGCTGAGCTCTGAGCTTGGGTGCATTACTTAACCTCTCTGAGCCTTGATTTTCTATACTTGTAAAATAGTAGTAATCTATTCCTGGGGGTGGATTAATGGCAGAGGCTCCAGTTGAGTCCGTTTGGGCCTTGGTGTCTGTCTGTTAAACAGGGTTTGGAATATGCCCCTGGCCTCTAGCCTTCCTCCTTACAGAACTCCCCAATACTGTCATTAAGAATTGAGGCCAGATGTGGTGGCTCATGCCTGTAATCCTAGCATTTTGGGAGGTCAAGGCGAGTGGATCACTTGAGGTCAGGAGTTCAAGACCAGCCTGGGCAACATGGCAAAACCCCATCTCTACAAAAAGTACAAAAATTAGCCAGGTGTGGTGGTGTGTGCCTGTAGTCCCAGCTATTTTGGGGGCTGAGGCAGGAGGACTGCTTGAACCTGGGAGACTGAGGCTGCAATGAGCTGAGATTGCGCCACTGCACTCCAGCTTTGGTGACAAAGTGAGAACCTGTCTCAAGAAAGAGAAAAAGAGTTGAAGGCCAGGCGTGGTGGCTCAAGCCTGTAATCCCAGCACCTTGGGAGGCTGAGGTGGGCAGATCACCTGAGGTCAGGAGTTTGAGACCAGCCTGACCAACATGGTGAAACCCTGTCTCTACTAAAAATAGAAAAATTAGCTGGGTGTGGTGGCGGGCGCCTGTAATCCCAGCTACTAGGGAGGCTGAGTCAGGAGAATCACTTGAACCCAGGAGGTGGAGGTTACAGTGAGCTGAGATGGTGCCATTGCACTCCAGCCTGGGAGACAAGAGCGAGACTCCACCTCAAAAAAAAAAAAAAAAAAAAAAAAAAAGTTGAATTATTTCCCCCAAAAGAGGGTGTTGAGGCTTTAACCCCCAGTACCTCAGGATCACCTTATATGGAGACAGTGTCGTTACAAAAGTAATCAAGTTCAAATGAAGCCAGTGGGTGGGCCCTAATCCAGTATGACTGGAGTCCTTATAAAAAGGGTAAATTGGGACACAGACACACACACAGGGAGCAGCAATGTGAAGATGAAGGCGGAGATCAGGGTGATGTTTGTACGTGCCAATGACTGCCAGAAACCTCCAGAAGCCAGGGGAGAGGCCTGGAAGATTCTCACAACCCTGTCGACACCTTGCCTTGGATGTCTAGCCTCCAGAACTGTCAGACAGGAATTTCTGTGCTTGAGGGACCCTATTTGTGATAAGTTCTGGGAGTCCAAGCAGACTAATACAACTGTCTTCAGAGTTTCAGGCATCCAGACCTGATGCTGTTCCTCCCCCATTTGAAACCCTTCAGTGGCTCCTTCACTCTCAAGGAAAAAAAAATATCCAGACTTCTTGTCCTGGTGTTCCTGGCCTGCCAAGATCTGAGCCCTGCCTGCTGTTTAATCCTCATTGATTGATTGATTGATTTTGAGACGGAGTCTCACTCTGTCACCCAGGCTGGAGTACAGCAGCATGATCTTGGCTCACTGCAACCTCCGCCTTCCGGGTTCAAGCAATTCTCATGCCTCAGCCTCCCTAGTAGCTGCGACTACAGGTGCGCACCACCACACCTGGCTAATTTTTTTGTATTTTAGTAGAGATGGGGTTTCACCATGTTGGCCAGGCTGGTCTCGAACTCCTAACCTCAGGTGATCCGCCTGCCTCAGCCTCCCAGTGCTAGGATTACAAGCGTGAGCCACCATGCCCAGCCCATCCTTATTCTCAGCAAGGAGGCTATTGCAGTCATTCAGCCCAGACAGCTGGAGTTTGCAATGGCAGCCATAGGGATGGAGGAGAGGAGAAGGGTCCAGAGACACTCAAGAGGCGGAATGAATGAGTCGAGAGGAGTGAATCCTGGCAGGGGTATGGGAGATGTGAAGAGCTTGGGCTTTCACCTGTGAGCGGTGCCACGCATTGAGAGGCCCCCGGGAGACATCAGAGAACCCATCTGCGTTGTCAGGGAAGCTCCACGGGAGATGGCCCTTCCAGGGGCCCGGCACAGGGCCAGACACATAATGCATGCTAAATGACTGAATATATAAGCTAAATGACTGAATATATCAGCAAGCCAAGAAAGGCTGGGCATGTGGAAAGGCAGAGATTGCGGGGGGCGGTAGTTTAGGCCAGGGGACCCCAAAACCGGGGGATCCGCACTCACCTACCTGCTCGATCTCCCGGCAGCGCCGACCTAGTGCCTGGTACTTTCTGCGATTTAATTCCCGCTGGCGCCGCCGCCGACCCCGGGCTGCCTCTTCCTCTTCATCTCGCTCCCGGAGCCCTGAGCCGCCCAGACCACCTGACACAAACTCCACTTCCGTCTCCAGCTCGCTCTCCAGGATGTGGCCACCAAATAGGGGAGGCAACGCCAACTCTGAGCCTGGCGGCGCTGAGAACTCCTCAAAGCCCACGGCTGCCATGGTCCTGAGAGGCAGGGAAAGGCTCAGGGGCCCTGGATCCTGGACCCCCAGCCCCTTCTCCCACTGAACCAGGAGCCCAGACCCCAACCCCTCCTCCCTGAGATCCTAGAATCCAGGCCCCCAGCCCCTCCTCCCTCAGACCGTAGAATCCAGCTCCCAGCCCTCCTCCCTCAGACCCAGAAGTCCAAGTCCGCAACCCACCCTTCGCAGCACCCACAGGGTTCAAGCCCTGACCCCCTCCTCCCAGGATGCAAGAGTCCAGACCTCCAGACTTTTTCTCTCCAAGGACCCAGGGAGTCCAAGCCCCAACCCTCAACCAGACGCAAGAGTCCTGGCTTCCAACCTCCTAGTCTGTCAGATCCAGCAGTCCAAACCCCTAACCTTCTCCTCCCTCAGGATGACCCCAGTCCATAAAAGGGTTCTAAGGTAAAGCAGTTGCATGAACTACAACCCCCATCAGACCTCAGCGTAAAAGCTCATATGGTTGCACACAATGCAGCTGCACTGTTTTCTGGGATTCGCACTTTTTCACAAGGGCTCAGCCACATACCCTTCTCTCTGCTCCAATTCCATCTCCGCGACCTCCGGAAGCCCCGGGCCTCAGAGCTTCCGACCTCTTCAATCTGTAGGTTAAGCCGTTCGCAAAACTACTTGTCCCATCAGGCTCAGCAGCCGAGGACGGCGGGACGTGGCCCTAGGCCTTGTGGGAGTTGTAGTTTCCTGTTTCCGGCTTCGCTTCGGCCCACCCCCACGTCCACCCCGAATCCCTGCTTAAAGGCCTTGCTTTCTTGTCTAACGCCGCAACCAGTCCTCTGAGTTGCCAACGTCTTTCTTCTTGTCTCGACGCCCCGTCGTCCGGCCACAGCGATTCTCTGCTTAGCAGGATCGGTCCACAGCGGGACGTGAGTCCCTTTCCTCCTCGCGGCTTACCGCCTCTCTCCGCCTAGTGCCAGGTGCTAATAAAGTTGTTGTTTCAAATGCGGCCAGGAACATCGCGAGCGGGGACCAATCAGAGAGTAGCTTTGCCTCTATAACGGCGCGAGAGTGAGACGTCATCGGTGAGCGACTAACGCTAGAAACAGTGGTGCGCGGAGAGGAGAGGTGAGTGTGATGGAGACCACGGGGAGCGGGAGGCTGGGCTCCTGGGTCTGGGAGAAGAAGTGTGTGAGGAAAAAGGCGGGTCTTTACAGCTTGGTTTTTGTTTTTTTGTTGTTTGTTTGTTTTGAGACGGAGTCTCGTTCTGTTGCCCAGGTTGGAGAGCAGTGGCGCGATCTCGGCTCATTGCAACCTCCGTCTCCCGGGTTCAAACGATTCTTCTGCCTCAGCCTCCAGAGTAGCTGGGATTACAGGCGCCCGCCACCACCCCTGACTAATTTTTGTATTTTTAGTAGAGACGGGGTTTCCCCATGTTGGTCAGGCTGGTCTCGAACTCCTGATCTCGTGATCCGCCCGCCTCGGCCTCCCAAAGTGCTGTGATTACAGGCATGATCCACCGCGCCTGGCCAGTTGTTTGTTTGTTTTGTCTGAGACGGAGTTTCGCTCTTGTTGCCCAGGCTGGAGTGCAGTGGCGCGATCTCGGTTCACTGCAACCTCCGCCTCCCGGATTCAAGCGATTCTCCTGCCTCAGCCTCCCGAGTAGCTGGGATTACAGGCGCGCACCACCACGCCCGGCTAGTTTTTTGTATTTTTAGTAGAGACGGGGTTTCACTATGTTGGCCAGGCTGGTCTCCAACTCCTGACCTCAGATGATCCACCCGCCTGGGCCTCCCAAAGTGCTGGGATTACAGGCATGAGCCACCGCTCCCGGCCTTTTACAGCCTGTTTACCCAAAAGTCTTAATATGCGCCTACCATGGTGTGGCCCTGGGGATGTGGAAGGAGCAAAAATTGTTCGCTACCCTCTTAGAGCTTTGGTTGATGCCTGGCAGACAGGCTTTATCAAATAATTACTTCATTAATCACAAATGTGTGAAGTGCCTTACTGTAGACACGCAGAGCGTGCGGGACACGTTATCACAAAGCAACCTCCTGTAGTCTAGAGTGGGGCGTGTGGGTCAGGGAGGTGGAACGTGAGAGCTGAAGGCTGAGGAGATGCTGGGCTACTAAGAAGTGAGGAGAGCCAGACGCCATGGCTCACTCCTGTAATCCCAGCACTTTGGGTGGCCCAGGCGAAAGGATCGCTTGAGCCCAGGAGTTTGAGACCAGCCTGAGCAACACAGTGAGACCCTGTCTCTACAGAAAAATTTAAAAATTAGCCGGGCGTGCTGGTGCGTGCCTGTCATCTCAGCTATCGGGAGGCTGAGGCGGGAGAATCGCTTGAGCCCAGGTGATCGAGGCTGCCGTGAGCTATGATGGCGCCACTGCACTGCAGCCTAGGTGACAGAGCAAGACATGGTCTCAAAAAAAAGAAAAGAAAAGAAAAAACAAAGTGAAGGAAAGGGCCACTTTAGTTACAAGGGACTCCTGTACAAAGACCTGGAGGCGGGAAGAGACCGATAATGTAACCAACTCAAGTTTCTGCTACTCAGAGGCAGAGGAAGTGGGGGGTGGTGAAAGTAAAGCAGCTTTACTGATCAAATGCTCGCAGATGAGAAATGGCCAAGCTAATGTCTTTAGAAGACCATTTCAAGCTTTAGGCTGGGGAGAGGGGCTTAAAAAGGGGAACTTTGAATGGGAGGCATACAGGAGTGGTGCTGGGTACAAGGTATGTGTGTCTTGCTCCGAAGGCTGTCTTGAGTCACGGGCCACCTGGAGCATGGGCTGGTGTCAAGTCAACAATGGCCACGTTGTAGATTGATCGCCTTGAGGTGATCTCTGGAGTTTTGCAGCTGGGTTTCCATACCTAGTTTGTTTCAAGATTAGCCCCTGCGGCGAGGCGCGGTGGCTTACGCCTGTAATCCCAACAGTTTGGGAGGCCAAGGTGGGTCGCTCACTTGAGGTCAAGAGTTCAAGACCAGCCTGGCTTACATAGTGAAACCTTGACTCTACAAAAAAAAAAAAAAAAAATTAGCTGGGCATGGTGGCAGGTGCCTGTAGTCCCAGCTACTCAGGAGGCTGAGGCAGGAGAATCGCTTGAACCCAGGAGGTGGAGGTTGCAAGTGAGCCAAGACTGCGCCACTGCACTCCAACCTGGGTGTCAGAGCCAGACTCCATCTTTAAAAAATAAATAAATAAAGATTAGCCCCTGGAACTTCTAAGTAAGCACATAGATAAGCCAGCAGTGCAAGACAGTATCTAGTGGGAAAGGAGGGAAACAAAGAATTTCAAAGTATGTTTTCAAGGCTAAAGGCAAGAAAGGAATAAGAAAGTTTGCAAATGCATTTGGAATCTACACCACTTGGTTCCAGTAAGTCTTAGCAAGGTGGCGGTCATAGGGGTGTGCTGCGTCTTGCACAGGTCGGAGCTGGAGACTCGCCAGTGAACAAAACAAACTAAAGCACCTGTTGTCGTGGAGCCTGCATGCTAGTGGGGTTGATAAAGAAGGACCAGGGTCTTCTGGGGGAGAATCATCGCTCAGTAATAAGGAGGGACTTTGTCGGGGCAAGTTTTTAGGGAACGCTGCTGTCCCTCCCCAGGCCTCGGGATGTCTCTGGCAGATGAGCTCTTAGCTGATCTCGAAGAGGCAGCAGAAGAGGAGGAAGGAGGAAGCTATGGGGAGGAAGAAGAGGAGCCAGCGATCGAGGATGTGCAGGAGGAGACACAGCTGGATCTTTCCGGGGATTCAGTCAAGACCATCGCCAAGCTATGGGATAGTAAGATGGTAAGAGGACAAGAGGTGTTCCTAGCAGGGGGCTCTAGACAGAATCTCCCAGAAGGGGGTGATACAGGCTTCTTTTTGAAGAGTGCTGGATTCTGACTGTCTTCTCCTTTCCTACAGTTTGCTGAGATTATGATGAAGATTGAGGAGTATATCAGCAAGCAAGCCAAAGCTTCAGAAGGTGCTTCCTCCCACTCTGTGCCCCTCCCCATCTCCTGTCTCTCCTGCCAGGCCCCCTGGCTCCCTGGCTGCTTGTGGCTGGGTATATCTCCTTCTCAGCCTTTTCCAGAGCCTTCTTTTTTTTTTGTTTCACCCCAACCCGTTCCCTTTTCCACTAAATATATATTGCATTGTAAAGCTCATGCTTCTTAAGTCCTTCCTGTGTGCTGAGCTTACTGATCATGATAGGACTCAGCTTGAGGTTTCCCAGACTTCACTGATTCACATGACCGGTTACAGGGTTTTTGCCACATCTATAAGCCGCTTATCCTATTATTTGCTTAACATATTCTTTGAGTCTAGGACTTTTTTTCTTAAATTTATCTGAGAAGGAAGCAAATTGCTACCATGAATGGAAAACTGGTATCATTTGGCAAAGACAAAGTCACTGTATAAAAATAGATATATAATTATTTAGGAACCACCTAAGGCCGGGCGCCGTGGCTCACGCCTGTAATCCCAGCACTTTGGGAGGCGGAGGCAGGTGGATCATGAGTTCAGGAGATCGAGACCATCCTGGCTAACACGGTGACACCCCGTCTCTACTAAAAATACAAAAAATTAGCCAGGCGTGGTGGCGGGTGCCTGTAGTCCCAGCTACTCAGGAGGCTGAGGCGGGAGAATGGCGTGAACCTGGGAGGCGGAGCTTGCAGTGAGCCGAGATCGTGCCACTGCACTCCAGCCTGGGCGACAGAGCAAGACTCCGTCTCAAAAAAAAAAAAAATAACCTAAAACCTTTTCTCATGCCCAAATTGAGAGAACACTAGCTTATCTCATGAGTGCTCAGACTCACTCTTAAGAGGGCAGTCCTGTTACCATTCCTATTCTTTTTTTTTTTTCCTTGAGATAGAGTCTCCCTCTGTCGCCCAGGCTGGAGTGCAGTGATGTGTTCTTGGCTCATTGCAACCTCCACCTCCCGGGTTCAAGCGATTCTCCTCCCTCAGCCTTATGTATAGCTGGGATTACAGGTATGCAACACCATGCCTGGCTATTTTGTATTTTTTAGTAGAGATGGGGTTTCACCATGTTGACCAGGCTAGTCTCGAACTCCTGACCTCAAGTAATCCGCCCACCTCGGCCTCCCAAAGTGCTGGGATTACAGGCATGAGCCACTACGCCCAGCCTTCCCATTCTTCTTGAATGGAATTTGTTGATGACAGGAAGCCATAGGAGGTTTCTGGGGAAAGAAGTGTAGTGAGAGGGCAGAGTTTCGGGAGACTCACTGCTTGCTTTCTTTAACGTTTACCTGGGCACCCAGTTGAATCGCCCAGGTCTTTGCTCTCAAAGTACTCAAGGTCTAGTGGAAGAGGCAGGCCAGGTTCCAGACAGCTATCAGTGGTGGTACCAAGCTGGGGACACCGGAGCCACAGGAGGGACTGGCTGACCCTGCCCCAGGTGTCAGGAAGAATCGATAGCTGAATTGGACTGTAGAGCATGAATGCATGTGCCAGGCAAAGAAAGGGAGAAGGGGGCCCAGGGAAAGACAGCGGCAGGCCCGGGGCCTCAGATATCCGGAGAGAGAATCCTGCAGAGTTCCAGATGCCAGGCCAAGGAATTTCTCCCTCCAGAGGGTTATGGGACACAGAAAGTGACATTTCCTGATGTCAGGCCAGGCTCAGGGATGGAGTCAGACCCCGTCACACCCGGTGTCTGGTTGAGGAGGCAGAGGTGAAACATCTCACAAGCTGTGGCAGTCCCTGTTTACTGGAGGTGCACAAGTGCTGCGGGTACACAGAGGAGGCGTCTGATCCTTCCAGAAAGGGAGGGAAGGATTCTGAGTCGCTGCCTGAGTCTTAAGGACTTAAAGAGCCATTTGAGCATCAGGGTTAGGAGTGCAGACTCTGACGCCGCCCTGCCTGGTGTCAGATCTGAGCTCTGCCTTCTACTGGCTGTGACATCAGGCAGTTAGTATTTGCATGACTTTTAAACACAACATCTTTTTGTTTGTTTGTTTTTTGAGACAGGGTCTCACTCTGTCACCCAGGCCAGAATGCAGTGGCACGATCCCAGCTCACTGCAGCCTTGACCTTGTGGGCTCAGGCGTTCCTGCCTCAGCCTCCCAGGCAGCTGGGACCACAGGTGTACACCACCATGCCTGGCTAATTTTTTTTCTTTAATTATGTGTAGAGATGGGGTCTCCCTATGTCGCCCAGGTTGCTCTCCAACTCCTGGGCTCAAGCAGTTCTCCTGCCTCAGCCTCCCAAAGTGCTGGGATTACAGGTATGAGCCACTGTGCCTGACCTCTTATTACTAAAGCACAAAGAAGCGTTTTCCAGAAACAGACGTGGGGTAAGGGATGCTCTGGGGAGAGGGAGCAGCACATGCAGAGGCCAGGAGGGGTCTGGCGCGGTGGCTCACGCCTGTCATCCCAGCACTTTGGGTGGTCAAGGCAGATGGATCACCTGAGGTCGGGAGTTCGAGACCAGCCTGCCCAACATGGTGAAACCCCGTCTCTACTAAAAATACAAACAAACAAAAAAAATTAGCCGGGCGTGGTGGCACATGCCTGTAATCCCAGCTACTCAGGAGGCTGAGGCAGGAGAATCGCTTGAACCCAGGAGGCGGAGGTTGCAGTGAGCTGAGATCATGCCACTATACTCTAGCCTGGGCAACCAGAGCGAAATTATGTCTCAAAAAAAAAAAAAAAGGCTAGGAGGAGTGGGTGTCTGGGGCACTGTGATCACTCCTTTATGGCTGGAGTGGAATAAAATGAGGTGTGGTGAGAGGATGGGGCGGGAAGGGCGGGAGGCCAGACTGCAGAGCTGCTGAGTCAGCAAACAGGAACGGGGGAACTCCCTGTGTGCCAGGTGCTGTCCTGGGTACTCGGCTGTGGGTACAGCCAACGCAGGCACAGCACTGGTCCCTGCAGAGCTTCCGGAGTTGGGGAGGCCCTGAATGTCAGTCTGAGGACTCGGTCATTAGCCTTGGGGCTGTGGGGAGCCGTAGGAGGTTTCACACGGTCAGTTCTGGGGTAGATGGGGTCAAGTCTAGACTGGTGTGGAGGGAGAGGGATTGAAGGCAGGAACACAAGTTCAGGGATGTCTGCAGACATCAGCCTGTCCCTGGTTTACTCTTCAGCCCCTCCTTCCTGACCCCTCCCAACTTCATCCTCCGCCTCCTCCAGCTGCGGGACCCGAGAGGGGGTAGGGATTTAGATACTCACACCCATGCCTCCGTGTCCTCACAGTGATGGGACCAGTGGAGGCCGCGCCTGAATACCGCGTCATCGTGGATGCCAACAACCTGACCGTGGAGATCGAAAACGAGCTGAGTGAGTGCTGGGGGGCAGGCGGAGACAGCCCCGTGTGACGTCCCTCACGCCCCCTCTCCCTTCCCCACTGGCCTTTCCCAGGGTCCTGCCCCTAAGCCCAAGCTCAGATCGAGGTTGACCTGCTGTCACAGAGTGGCTGAAATAAGAAGGAAGTGCGTTCTCTCGCGTATGAGTCTGAGGAGCACTCGGGGATGGTGTGGCCGCTTGGCTGCCTGTAGGGCCCCGGCTCTTTCCATCCTGTTGGTCGGCCACCTGCCTCACGGTGCGAGGTGACTGCCCCACCTCCAGCCATCACCTCCGCATTCCCACCAGCAAGGCGCTTCTTTTCTTTAAGAACATGTCACTGCAGCTCACGTTTTACAGACCAGAACTAATTCCCCTGGTCACACCTAGCGGTAAGGACGGCTGAGAAAGGCTGTATGCTGGTGCCCGTGTGCCAGGCCACAAGCCAGGGCTTCAGTTACTAAAGGAAGAAGGGGACATGGGTGTTAGGGCCAACCAGCAGAGTCTACCTTCCATCTCACCCGACAACCTCCTGTCCCGTTTACCCTAGACATCATCCATAAGTTCATCCGGGATAAGTACTCAAAGAGATTCCCTGAACTGGAGTCCTTGGTCCCCAATGCACTGGATTACATCCGCACGGTCAAGGTGAGCGCAGAGAAGGTGGGGTGCTTCTGCTGGCGTGAAGGGGCAGGCGGGGCTCACTCTCGGACCCCCTCCCAGAGGCCTCAGGGTCTGGAGACGATGGAGAGGAGTGGACGAGGGCTCAGTGGTCTGCTCTGCCCAGCGTGGGAGGGACGGAGCCTGGACAGGACTTTCTCAGGGCTCCCCTCCAACCCCAGTCTCCCGAGAGGGCTTCCCCGCTGGCCTGACCCACGCTGCTCCCGCTGTGGTTGGAGCCGGTGGCATTGGAGTTGACATCCGAAGGTTGACACAGGGCAGGCACACGGAGATTTGGGGCAGAGAGACGTCTAAGTGCAGAGAGCTGGAGAGGGAACAAGTGGGGAGGAAGTGAGGCGGGGAAGGAGGGGACGGGGAAGAGGTCGGATCACGTCCAGCCTTTGGGTCTTAGGAGAAAGCCAAGGAAGGGTTTCGGAAAAGAGGGGCAGGTGTGCGTGAGGGCGGGGAGAGGAGGAGGTCCCCACGCATGTCCAGGAAAGGATTAGGATGGCGGTGGGGAAGCCCCTGCAGGGAAGCGAGGCCGCGGATTTGCACTCCGACTTGACGCAGGCCAGAGGCTTGTGAGGCCACAGTCTTTCCAGACGCCACTCTGCCCGGGCTCCGTTTCCAGGTCAGCGAAAGCAGGGCAGATGGTGTGGATGCTTGACGTGGTGGAGGCAGGAATGGTGTGGATGCTTCAGGCGGTGGAGGCAGGAGAGGCCCCCAGTGCAGAGACCCTGACTGTCCCAGTGTCCCTAAGAAGAGACCTGAGGAGGTGCTGAGCAAGAGAGGTTCTCGAGCCTTCCTGAGTTCCCGAGCCTCCCCTATCTTCTCTGCTCGCCCCCAGGAGCTGGGCAACAGCCTGGACAAGTGCAAGAACAATGAGAACCTGCAGCAGATCCTCACCAATGCCACCATCATGGTCGTCAGCGTCACCGCCTCCACCACCCAGGGGTATGTCCGCTTCGAGGGAGGCGCCGGGCCCTAATGGGATTGGGGATTAGGCTGGAGCTACACACGCAGGTGTACACACGCACACACACATACACACATGCACACACACACACAGAACCGAGAGGGCTGGGGCTGGGCACACCAGGCAGGCGGGAGATCCAGGAGGCTGGGCCCACCCGCCCCTGCAGGCAGCAGCTGTCGGAGGAGGAGCTGGAGCGGCTGGAGGAGGCCTGCGACATGGCGCTGGAGCTGAACGCCTCCAAGCACCGCATCTACGAGTATGTGGAGTCCCGGATGTCCTTCATCGCACCCAACCTGTCCATCATTATCGGGGCATCCACGGCCGCCAAGATCATGGGTGAGTCCCCGGGCTGGGTCCCATGGAGCGGGGGTCTGCTGACACTGTGACCTTGGGAAAGCTACATCCTTTTCTGTAGAATGGGGGCTTTGGCACCTGGACCTCAGCACCCCGTCTCCCTGGACATCACAGAGGTCAGCCAGCCTGGCACACAGCAAAGCCTCGTCTGTGGGAAAAACACTCACCCACAGCTCCTTCTCCCTCCCCTGTGCCGGAAACCCAGAGATGACCACACCCAGGCCCTGTTGTCAGGGAGCTCCTGGTTTGGTGAAAATGGTTCCAAAACACAGCCATCCCTGGAACGGCGTTAGTGTGGCTTAGCACAAACGTGGTGGTCAGCTTCCTGTTGGGGGCCTCCTCCCTGCACCCCCAGGCCAGCTGCCCTCCCTCTCTGAGCCTCCTTTGCATCTGCCCCTTGCGGAATGGGCCAGGTCGCCCGCCTGGCAGGGCCATCGAGGAATCCAACCAGAACTTCATGTAAAGGTGCCCAGCACACGTCGAGCCCCCAGGCAGATTTACTCACCCCCACCTCTCTGCTTTCTTCTGACCGCCCCCCCTTCCTCCCTCCCTCCCACCGCAGGTGTGGCCGGCGGCCTGACCAACCTCTCCAAGATGCCCGCCTGCAACATCATGCTGCTCGGGGCCCAGCGCAAGACGCTGTCGGGCTTCTCGTCTACCTCAGTGCTGCCCCACACCGGCTACATCTACCACAGTGACATCGTGCAGTCCCTGCCACCGGTGAGCCCACTGCGTCATGGCCCCTCCCCCGGCCCCCCTGGAGCCTTCCGCTGTGCCCAGACAGCCTGAGCAGCCACCCACCATCTGGCCCAGCTGACGGTAGCACTCAGGAGCTGGGAACAGGGTGGCATGGGACGTGAGAGCCAGGGCTCTGCAGCAGACCAGCTCCAGCACCCACCAGTCAGGTGACTGTGGGCAAGAGGCATGAGCGCCCTGTGCCTCAGTCTCCTCCCCTATCAAATGGGAGCACAGCGCCTGCTTCATGAGTTGGGACGAGGGCTCAGTGCACATGAAGCACTTACAGTTCAGGCCTAGCTCACGACAAGCAGCGTCGGGTTAGCGTGCAACTGCTCCGAAGACCACCCTCAGGTTTGACCATTCACTAGAAAGACTCACAGAATCCACTGAGGGCTGCACATCAGCCATGGGGAGAGACACACAGGAGGGGCAGGAGAGGTCACCAACCTCGGAGCTTCCCGGGTCCTCTCCCTGCAGTCGGGACACATCACCATCCCAGCATCGACGCCTGACAGCACACACACAGGCCCGCTAGCCTGGCGGGGCGCAGTGGCTCGTGCCTGTCATCCCAGCACTTTGGGAGGCCGAGGCGGGCAGATCACCTGAGGTCAGGTGTTCGAGACCAGCCTGGCCAACATGGTGAAACCCCATCTCTACCAAAAATACAAAAAACTAGCTGGGTATAGTGGCACACACTTATAATCCCAGCTACTTGGGAGGCTGAGGCAGGAGAATCGCTTGAACCCAGGAGGTGGAGGTTGCAGTGAGCTAAGATCATACCACTGCCCTCCAGCCTGGGTGACAGAGTGAGACTCTGTCTCAAAAAAAAAAAAAAACAAGACAGGTTCTGGGACAGACAGGCCTGGGTCCAGACCCTGCTCTGTCCGACTGTGGCGAGTTACCTCAGGCTCACGGCCCTGTGCCCTGCCTGGCCTCCCCCAGGGATGGGGAGAACAATAGCACTGATGGCCAAGGCTGGGCAGGCACTTCCTGGCCCCACCCCCCAGCCCTGTGTGGGGTTTTTTTTGTGGTCTTTTCTGCGACCCTTTAGGTCAGGCACTGCTACTGGAACACACCCAGGGAGGCTGGCAGGTCACCCCATCCTGGGAGGAGAGAGAGTGGGCGATAGAACCCAGGACGGGTGGGCCTGGGGCTCGGGGCTCCAGCTGCCTCACTGCACCCCTGCCATCGCCACCGCCTCACAGCCCTGGGCATATGGGTTAAACCTGCCCCAGGGAGCCTGATGTCTTGTCACCCAGGCCTCTGCCTCTTCATTTGGCCATCTCACATCGGTCCAGGCACAGGCCGTAGACACCACAGGCCTGTAAGGGAGGCCAGGGCTGGCCATCGCTTCACTGTGGCTGACAGCTGGGCTCTGTTTGCAGTTTGGATTGGAACCCTGGCTCCATCACCTGCTGGCTGTCTCCCTGGCCACATGACTTGAAGCCTTGGTTTCCACATCTGAAAAGGGGGTGCAATGATCACACCAGCCCAATATTTGAATATTTGATGAGATGATCCGAGGGGCGTGCTTAGCATGGGGCTGGCATCCAGGCCGAGTGCACTCCCCCCGGCGTCTCCACAGTCACCACCGTCCTCGTTGTCAGCGTGCCTTACTGTCATCCTTACCTGATGGCCACTTATCAGCTGGGACATGGCTCTGTGCCCTGCCCTCATCCCCTCTTCCTGTGAAGTAGGAGCTGAGAGCACACACCTCTAGAGCCCAAGGGTGGAAAGCCCCCTTCCAGGACCCCAGGTAGAGCCAGAGGAGGAGCGCGCGCGGTTGCTTTGCTGTTACCTCTGTCTGTCTGTCTCACACAGATTCCACCCCCGTTTTCCGTTGCTCCAGGATCTGCGGCGGAAAGCGGCCCGGCTGGTGGCCGCCAAGTGCACACTGGCAGCCCGTGTGGACAGTTTCCACGAGAGCACAGAAGGGAAGGTGAGGAGGGAAAGGTGAGGGGCGGCCGGGCGTCTTTTCCTCTGGGCCTGGGGTGTCTCTGCAGGGAGACCCTCAGCAGGGAGCCCACCCCAGCGAGCACTGTCCTACCAAGGCGGAGGCAGTGCTTCTGCCCACCCTCCCTGGGGTCAGGCACCCCCTTCCCCAGTGGGGTTTCCTAGGTCTGCTGTTGGAAGGTAGCATGAACCTACTGGCTTCAAACAGTGCAGGTGTGGCCGGGTGCAGTAGCTCACGCCTGTAATCCCAGCACTTTGGGAGGCCAGGGTGGGCGGGTCACAAGGTCAGGAGTTTGAGACCAGCCTGGCCAACATGGTGAAACCCCATCTCTACCAAAATTAGCCGGGTGTGGTGGCACGCACCTGTAATCCCAGTTACTCAGGAGGCTGAGGCAGGAGAATTGCTTGAACCTGGGAGACGGAGGTTGCAGTGAACTGAGATTGCATCATTGCACTCCAGCTTGGGTGACATAGCGAGACTCCATCTAAAAACAAAAACAAAAAACAGTACAGGTTTATTATCTGTGGTCCTGTAGGTCAGAAGTCCAAAATGAGTTTCACTGGGCTGAAGTCAGGGTGTCATCCTGGAGCGTTCCTTCTGGGGGATTCAAGGGATAATCCATTCCCTTGTCTTTTCCAGCTTCTAGGGGTCACTGGCACCCCTTAGCTCGTGGCCCTCCCTCTGTCTGCGGAGCCAGCCACATAGCACCCTCAGACCTCTCTCTGACTCTGCTTCTGTCTTCATATCTCGGCCTCTGTTTTTGTTCCCCTCTTCTATTTTAAGGGCCCCTGTGGCTATACTGAGCCTACTCAGATGGTCCAGGATAGTCTTCCCAGCTCACAATCCTTAAAATCCTTCTTAACCTCTTCACGTCCCTTTTGCCCTGTGATTCTGGGAATTAGAACATGGGCCTCTTTGGGCATGTGTGTGTTGGTGGGGGCGTAATTTGCCTTCCACACCAGGATCTGTCCCCGCTGCAACAGGGGATGTTATTCAAGTAATTATTCAGTTACCTTCTGTCTTCCTTGGTAGATGTACTCGGGAGAGGAGACGTTTTCTGTCTTGTGAACTGTCGTTTGCCAAGCACCCGGCCTGGCACAGCGTTCAGGTGTTCCGTGTCCCCTTCTCCTTTCCCTCTCCCCATCTCACCCCTGGTCTGGGTGTGGGGGTGCAGCTGTGAGTAGCACAGACAGGACCCCTGCCCCGTGGCGTGGACATTCTTGTTGGGGCCGGGTCAAAGAGACAGTCAACAGGTGAACTCTGTCCTGCGTCTAGCGGTGCTAAGTCAACACCAAGAAGAAAAAGAAAGGGGGTGGCGGTGAGGCAGCATTAGGTGCTGATTTAACTAAGGCACGTGGATACTCGGGGGGTCCGCTCAGAGGAGGCCTGGGTGGGCAGCCCACGCGAGCAGCTGCAGGACCTCCCCCTCGCCCTCCCCAGGTGGGCTACGAACTGAAGGATGAGATCGAGCGCAAATTCGACAAGTGGCAGGAGCCGCCGCCTGTGAAGCAGGTGAAGCCGCTGCCTGCGCCCCTGGATGGACAGCGGAAGAAGCGAGGCGGCCGCAGGTGAGGGGCCCTGGGGGTCCGGTAGGCATGGGGGTCATGGAGGGGAGAAGCCGGCGTCCTCCTCCCAGCCGACTCCCTGGCGCCGCCCACCCACCCGTCCCCAGGTACCGCAAGATGAAGGAGCGGCTGGGGCTGACGGAGATCCGGAAGCAGGCCAACCGTATGAGCTTCGGAGAGGTCAGACTCCCAGAGCGCCCTCCTCAACCCCACAGCCAGCCAGCCGCCACCGCCCTCTGCCTCCTGCCACCGCCCCTCCTCTCGTCCTGTGGCCCTGGCTCATGTCTAGGGCGCTGCCCCAGCCTCCTCCCCCCCGGCCTCTATTCTCGTTTCCATCCATTCAGCCCCAAAGCGACCCTCGCGGCCCTTGGAGCCTGTGTCTCCGCTGCTTAGAGCCCCCGCGGCTTCCCATCGCCCCGGGCTCCTTGGCCGGTTCCTCCCTGCCCAGAGGCTCCTTAGTGCCCTGCTGCACGGCCGCCCCGTCCCTGGGCCCCGCCAGTCTCCTCTGTTATCCCAGCGTCATCCCCTTGGTCCTGCAGGACCGAACTCAGAGGCCACCTCATCCTATTAAACCTGTTCTGGTTCCTGACATCCCCCGACCCACACGAGTAAGGAAGGAATGGCCTCCCAACTCTGAGCTCACAGAGCAGTGCTGGGACCGGGCCCCTCTCAGGCTCCCCGGCATCCCCCGCGTGTGTGGGCCCCCAGGCCTCAGCCGGGCCGAGTGGGTACCGGAGCAGGTGCCCGTGGGACCGGCCGGCTGGTGACCGCTGGGCTTCCGGCTGGTGGAGGGGGTGCCTCGGTGGCTGGAGGGCAGGGCCTGGTCGCTGAACTGCAGGGCGCCTCCTCTTCCCCCTAGATCGAGGAGGACGCCTACCAGGAGGACCTGGGATTCAGCCTGGGCCACCTGGGCAAGTCGGGCAGTGGGCGTGTGCGGCAGACACAGGTAAACGAGGCCACCAAGGCCAGGATCTCCAAGACGCTGCAGGTATGGGCCAGACCCAGGTGGGGCTGGGGACCGAGGGACACAAGGTGGGGGGAGCCCAGATCGCAGCCTCCCTGTCCTCCCCACAGCGGACCCTGCAGAAGCAGAGCGTCGTATATGGCGGGAAGTCCACCATCCGCGACCGCTCCTCGGGCACGGCCTCCAGCGTGGCCTTCACCCCACTCCAGGTACCTCCCCTGGGCCGGCTCTGTCCCCAGCCCTGAGACCTTGGCAAGGCCCCTTGCCCTCTGCCCCTGTGAAGAAGGCCAGGATGAGTCTCCTCATGGGGCTGTTGTGGAGGGTGTGGTGACGAGGTATGCAGAGGACGTAGACAGCTCCTGGCACACAGGAAGAGGTTAGCAGAGACGAGAGCCCAGCGCTGAGCAGTCCTCGTGAGCACGCACTGCTTTAGAACCAGGCCCACAGCTGTGTTCAGGGCACCCAGTTCCTCTGTCGGGCTGTGAGCGGGTAACACTGCTCAGCCTCCAGGCCCTCCAGTTCAAAACGGCCAGGACGGTTAAGGTAACCTCAGGACCCCACTCGAGAAAGTTCCCGGCTAGGCGGGCTTGGATGTCAAGTGTGGGTCCAGGCCCCAGCCAGTCAGCAGTGAGCAGCGTGGAGCATGGCAGTCACCGCATCGTCGGAGCCTCGGTTTACCATCCACAGAGCAGGGCGAGCCTGCACCACGGAGGCGAGACAGCAGCGAGCTCATCTGCCCAGTCAGCGGGTGTCTACGCAGCACCTGCTGAGTTCTGTCAGTGTTCCCGGCTCTGGGGATGAAGCAACGAATGAGAGACAAGTCTTACCTTCTTGGAGCCAGTGGGTGGCCGGGCGCAGACAGCTCAGTAAGATGTCCAGTGTAGGAGAAGGCAGAAATGCCAGGCCGGGCGCAGACAGCTCAGTAAGATGTCCAGTGTAGGAGAAGGCAGAAATGCCAGGCTGGGCGCAGACAGCTCAGTAAGATGTCCAGTGTAGGAGAAGGCAGAAATGCCAGGCCGGGCGCAGACAGCTCAGTAAGATGTCCAGTGTAGGAGAAGGCAGAAATGCCAGGCCGGGCGCAGACAGCTCAGTAAGATGTCCAGTGTAGGAGAAGGCAGAAATGCCAGGCCGGGCGCAGACAGCTCAGTAAGATGTCCAGTGTAGGAGAAGGCAGAAATGCCAGGCTGGGCGCAGACAGCTCAGTAAGATGCCCAGTGTAGTAGAAGGCAGAAATGCCAGGCCGGGCGCGGTGGCTCACGCCTGTAATCCCAGCACTTTGGGAGGCCGAGGCAGGTGGATCATGAGGTCAGGAGATCGAGACCATCCTGGCTAACACGGTGAAACCCCGTCTCTACTAAAAATACAAAAACTTAGCCGGGCGTGGTGGCGGGCGCCTGTAGTCCCAGCTACTTGGGAGGCTGAGGCAGGAGAATGGCGTGAACCCGGGAGGCGGAGCTTGCAGTGAGCCGAGATCGCGCCACTGCACTTCAGCCTGGGCGACAGAGCCAGACTCTGTCTCAAAAAAAAAAAAAAGAAGGCAGAAATGCCAGGGAGGGGAGGAGGTGGAAGGTAGGAGGTGGGACAGGGGAGGCTCTCGTTTCGGAGCAGCCAGGGAGGGCCTCTTTGAGAAGATGAGGCCAGTGGCTGTGCCTTTCCAAGCCTCCCCTCCTCCATCATGAGGTGCTCAGGACTGAAAAGAACGCACAGGAAGCACTTGGCACTGGGCTCACCATTAGAGCCCAATGACTGGGTCCTGTTATTATTTTTAGAGACGGGGGCTCGCTCTGTTGCCTTGAAAATATTTAGGAAGTGCCAGCCAGGTGTTGGCTCCCATTGCTGCCACTATGATCGTCAGTGGTGTTGGTGTGATTTGTGCTAGGACCTCGGGCCAGCCATGTCCCCCAGGGACTCAGTTTCCTTATGCAGAAACTGGGCAGGATTGGCTGTCCTCAAGCATTGGTTGTTTTTAGCACCCCTGAGGAACTTCGTACAAATCCAGGCGCCCTGGTTCCTCCCCACCCTCTCCCTCTAGACCCACTGAGTCAGAATCTCCCAAGACAGGGCAACTCCAGGGACAGGCAAACTGTCTCATGCCCACCAAGGCCTGAGTGCCATGGGGAAGGGCCTGGGGGGCTCTGATGGGTCACAGTTGGGGCCTTCTCCTCACCTAACCCATCATCCTCTCTCCCTCACCTGCCCAGGGCCTGGAGATTGTGAACCCACAGGCGGCAGAGAAGAAGGTGGCTGAGGCCAACCAGAAGTATTTCTCCAGCATGGCTGAGTTCCTCAAGGTCAAGGGCGAGAAGAGTGGCCTTATGTCCACCTGAATGACTGCGTGTGTCCAAGGTGGCTTCCCACTGAAGGGACACAGAGGTCCAGTCCTTCTGAAGGGCTAGGATCGGGTTCTGGCAGGGAGAACCTGCCCTGCCACTGGCCCCATTGCTGGGACTGCCCAGGGAGGAGGCCTTGGAAGAGTCCGGCCTGGCCTCCCCCAGGACCGAGATCACCGCCCAGTATGGGCTAGAGCAGGTCTTCATCATGCCTTGTCTTTTTTAACTGAGAAAGGAGATTTTTTGAAAAGAGTACAATTAAAAGGACATTGTCAAGATCTGTCCTTGGGGAGTGATCATTTTTCAAACAGCCGGGGCAACTAGAAGAATCAGAGCTGTGGAGCTTTGAGAAAAGAGCTTGGCCCTCGGGTCCAAGCGGTGTCTAGGCCCACTCCCTTCCCCGTTACTTTCTCGTCATGGGATCCCAGAAGGAAAAAGCCCTCTCCAACCCCCTGGAGAGCCGCAGTCACTTTGATAGCAAATGATGTGGCTGCCAACAGCCGCAGATCTCAGCGCAGGCCGACCGGGATTGCTGTCCACCTCAGGCCAGCCTCCTCACCTTTCCAAGCCTCCACACCTACGCCCAGGTGCCCAGGACTGGAAAGAATGCACAGAAAGCACTTAGCATGGGACTTGCCATCAGCGCCCTATAACCAGGTCCTGTTATGATTGGGTTTTTTAGAGACGGGGTCTCTGTTGCCCAGGTTGGAGTACAGTGATGCGATGAAGCTCACTAAAGCCTCAAACTCCTGGGCTGGGATTACAGGCATGAACCAGCACAGCTGGCCTCCTGGTTAATTTAAATTTTTTTTTTTTTTCTGAGGTGGAGTCTCGCTCTGTTGCCCAGGCTAGAGTACAGTGGTGCAATCTTGGCTCACTGCAACCTCTACCTCCCGGGTTCAAGCAATTCTCCTGCCTCAGCCTCCTGAGTAGCTGGGATTACAGGCATGTGCCACCATGTCCCGCTAATTTTTATAGTTTTTAGTAGAGACAGGGTTTCGCCATGTTGGTCAGGCTGTTCTCGAACTCCTGACCTCATGATATGCCCACCTCAGCCTCCCAAAGTGCCAGGATTACAGGTGTGAGCCACCACCCCAGCCCCATTTTTAAATTGTTTATAGACAGGGTCGTGCTCTATTACCCAGGCTGGGCTTGAACTCCTGTGCTCAAGTGAGCTTTCCACCTCAGCCTCCCTAAGTGTTGAGATTACAGGCTTGAGCCGCTGTGTCTGGCCTCTTATTATTATTATTATTTTTTTTTTTGAGACAGAATCTCACTCTGTTGCCCAGGCTGGAGTGCAGTGGGATGATCCTGGCTCATGGCAACCTCCACCTCCCGGGTCCAGGTGATTCTCCTGCCTCAGTCTCCTGAGTAGCTGGGATTACAGGCGCCCATGGGTTTTGTTTGTTTGTTTGTTTGTTTGTTTGTTTTTCAGACGGAGTCTTGCTCTGTCACCCAGGCTGGAGTGCAATGACATGGTCTTGGCTCACTGCAAACTCCGCCTCCCAGGTTGAAGTGATTCTCCTGCCTCAGCCTCCCGAATAGCTGGGATTACAGGCGCCCGCCACCACGCCTGGCTAATTTTGTATTTTTAGCAGAGACGGGGTTTCACCATTTGGGCCAGGCTGGTCTTGAATTGCTGACCTTGTGATCTGCCCGCCTCGGCCTCCCAAAGTGCTGGGATTACAGGTGTGACCCACCGCGCCCGGCCGAGATGGGGTTTTACCATGTTGGCCAGGCTGGTCTCGAACTCCTGACCTCAAATAATCCGCCTGCCTCGTCTCCCAAAGTGCTGGGATTACCCTGTGCCTGGCCCAGCCTCTTATTTATAACCAGTGTTGAGGGACTGTGTGGAGCCGGGCACAGGCGAAGCAGGCAGGCTTCCTGCCCTGGTAGGACCTGGTTGCTATAAAAGTCCTGCCAGGTGAGCAGAAGGAGCACACTTCCCCTCCCCTGACCTCCAGTCACTGAGTCTCGGGAACCGGGGCTCGGCCAGGAGCGCCTTTACTTGGACTGAGGGGAATGTGGCCTGCAGACAGTCAGGAGAGTTTCCAGGGGACAGCAGGGGCTGTCCTAGCGGGTGGCATGAAACCGTCTCCCTGGAGAGGTTAAGGAAGAGCAACTCCAGGGGTTCCATTTACTATGTGCTCCGGAGCTGGGCTACACGGTGGTACTAAGGAGGCAGCGCTAGTCACCTGACCTACAAGGTCGGGCTTCTGTTAGTTACCTAAGAGATGTTACCAGGACAAGCAGCAGCCTGGTGGGAAGATGATGCCTCCAGGTCTCTACCTCCTCTCTCTCTCCCTCCTTCTCTCCACCTCCCCTCTCTCTCCCTCCCTCTCTCCACCTCCCCTCTCTCTCTTCCTCCCTCTCCACCTCCCCTCTCTCTCCCTCCCTCTCTCCACCTCCCCTCTCTCTCCCTCCCTCTCTCCACCTCCCCTCTCTCTCTCCCTCCCTCTCTCCACCTCCCCTGTCTCCACCTCCCCTCCCTCTGTCCCTCCCTCTCTCCACCTCCCCTCCCTCTGTCCCTCCCTCTCTCCACCTCCCCTCTCTCTCCCTCCCTCTCTCCACCTCCCCTCTCTCTCTTCCTCCCTCTCCACCTCCCCTCTCTCTCTTCCTCCCTCTCCACCTCCCCTCTCTCCCTCCCTCTCTCCACCTCCCCTGTCTCCACCTCCCCTCCCTCTGTCCCTCCCTCTCTCCACCTCCCCTCTCTCTGTCCCTCCCTCTCTCCACCTCCCCTCTCTCTGTCCCTCCCTCTCTCCACCTCCCCTCTCTCTCCCTCCCTCTCTCCACCTCCCCTCTCTCTCCCTCCCTCTCTCCACCTCCCCTCTCTCTGTCCCTCCCTCTCTCCACCTCCCCTCTCTCTCTCCCTCCCTCTCCACCTCCCCTCTCTCCACCTCCCCTCACTCCACCTTCCCTCTCTCTCCCTCTCTCTCCTCCCCTCTCCCTCCCTCCACCTCCCCTCCCTCTCTCCACCTCCCCTCCCTCTCTCCCTCCCTCCCTCCCTCTCTCCACCTTCCCTCTCCCTCCCTCCACCTTCCCTCTCCCTCCCTCCACCTTCCCTCTCCCTCCCTCTCCACCTTCCCTCTCTCCTCCCCTCTCCCTCCCTCTCTCCACCTCCCCTCTCTCCCTCCCTCCCTCCCTCTCTCCACCTTCCCTCTCTCCCTCCCTCTCTCCACCTTCCCTCTCTCTCTCTCCCTCCCTCTCTCCAGCTCATGCTATCTGGGTCTCCCTCTGACTTTCTAGGTCCTGTCTGAGATTTTGCTCTTTCTGTTCCCCTCTCTGGGCCTCCCCGTCACCACTCTGTGTATCTCTGGATCCCTGTCCTTCAACCCAGAGCTCTGTCTCTGGACCTCAGTGGCAATCTCTAAATCTCTCTCCTTCCTCAAGTCAAAAAGTCGACACACTCAGGAGGTTCCCTTGAGTGGCTGAACTACCCCAGGTTGTATAACTCAAGTCTGTTTTCTCAATGTTATCCCTGACCCTCTGGGTCAACCCTGTTTGAAAATGACAACCTTTGCTGATCTCTACATACTGGTCTGCCAGGGAAGGACCCGTGGTCCACAACCCTGTTCAGAATCCCCCATCTCCCTTGGCCAAAATATCCGGCATCTACCAATGGGGCTGTGGCATGAGGGTGTCAATCTCAGGAAAGGAATCTTGAGTCGCCTGGGCCTGCAGCCCTCGTACTTTCAGAACAGAGGTTCTCAGAATTTAATGCGCTTCAGAATTACACTGAGGACTTGTTAAAACATAGTTGCTGGGCCCAGAGTTTCTGATTCAGTCTAGGGTGGGGCTCAAAAATGTGCCTTTCAAACAAGTTCCCAGGTGATGGGTACGTGCCTGACCCAAGGCCACATTTCAGAAGCACTGCTCTAGAAAAGAAGACTCTGTAAGCGGCTCTTACGCTGGGCGCGGTGGCTCACGCCTGTAATCCCAGCTACTTGGGAGGCTGAGGTGGGAGAATGGCTTGAACCTGGGAGGCAGAGGTTGCAGTGAGCCGAGATGGCGCCCCTGCACTCCAGCCTGGGTGAGAGAGACACTGGCTCCCACCTCAAGATCGTTTTAGTTGGTCCAGTGTAAGCCTGGGTATCTGGACTTTTTTATTTTTTATTTTTATTTTTTGAGACGGCGTCTTGCTCTGTCACCCAGGCTGGAGTGCAATGGCGCAATCTCGGGTCACTGCAACCTCTGCCTCCCAGGTTCAAGTGATTCTCCCGCCTCAGCCTCCCGAGTAGCTGGGATTACAGGCACATGCCACCATGCCCAGCTAATTTTTGTATTTTTAGTAGAGACGGGGTTTCACCATGTTGGCCAGGCTGGTTTTGAACTCCCTACCTCAGGTGATCCGCCCACCTCGGCCTCTGAGAGTGCTGGGATTACAGGTGCAATGGCGCAATCTAGGCTCACTGCAGCCTCTGCCTCCCGGGTTCAAGTGATTCTCCCGGCCCGGCCTGGCCTCTAATTTAAAAAAAATTTTTTTTTTTTAAAGTTCCTCAGGTAGGCCAGGCGCAGTCGTCACGCCTGTAATCCCAGCACTTTGGGAGACTGAGGCGAGCGGATCACCTGAGGTCAGGAGTTCGACACCAGCCTGGCCAACATGGTGAAACCCCGTCTCTACTAAAAATACAAAAATTAGTCGGGCGTGGTGGCGGGCGCCTGTAATCCCAGCTACTCGGGAGGCTGAGGCGGGAGAATCACTTGAACCCCGGGAGGCAGAGGCTGCAGTGAGCCTAGATTGTGCCACTGCTCTCCAGCCTGGGGGACAAGAGCAAGTCTTCGTCTCAACAACAACAACAATAACAACAAGTTCCTCAGGTGACTCTGATGTGCAGCCAAGTTGGAAAGTCATCGCTAGATCCGCGGTGTGCAAAGTGAACTGCGGACCGTGGACTGCGGCACTTGTTAGAAAAGCAGAATTTGCATTTTAACACATTCCTAGGTGATTCCGGAGATGTCTGAGAAGCGATACTTTGTCCAGGGGCCACAGTTTGAATAGCAGAGCTCTAGAACAATAACTCTAGGCTTCATTCCCGTTGTCTGTGTGTGGGCCTACGAATATGCATTTTCGCAAGCATTCCTCCTCCCCCTTGCCTCAGACCATTCTGATGCGGGTGGTGCTGAACGGCTCCATCCTCCTTCACGTTCACCTCTCCCTGGGATTTATCTTACTTTCCACCACCTAGACAGGAAGGGGCGAATCTGGCTTCCCATCTCGGTTGTGTGACCCTGGGCAAATGCCTCCCAGTTCGTGGAAGTCTCAGTGTCTAGTAAGTTTTCAATCACAAGTCATTCCTCACATTCATTCATCTATTCCTTTGACAAATGGTTACTGACTACTTCCTGCGTGCTAAGTGCTGGAGATGCAAAATCCAGACAGGGAAACCGAATAATTACGAAAATGACGGTAGACGTACAAAAATAAATCCTAACGAACAAGGCGCGCAGGAGCGCTCCGCCCGGGAGGGAGGTCAGGGAAGTTTTCTCTCCAAGAAGACAACAGAGCTGAGACCTGAAACGAGCAGGCATTAGGGAGCCACCCGTCTCCTCTGTACCTTCTGCAGCGTCCTCAACACACTAAGGAAGCGGAGACGCAGAGGAGAATGACTGTCCTACCATCTGGTCGCCTAACCAGGCAGGGGCAGGACAAAAACTCCATGCCTCACGCTTCCCAACCAATTCTGCTATGCACGGTGCCAGAGACTTAAAGCAGTGTCTCTGGTCCCTTTCTTCTTTCACTCAGCAAATAATGAATTTCAGAGATGTGCCAACATAGAGGCACTTGGAGAAAGACGAGGCAGCTGAGAGGGAAGCTGCTTACCTGGCCGGGACGCAACGGTTGCGACCAAGTCCCACTTCTGCCAGCTACATACACCCTCTTTCACACGCTCTACGAGCAGCTACCGCCCACTCGCCACGCTATTGGTCAAACTAGCATGAATGATAACTTTTAGGGCCAACGAAGAAAAAGGGGTGGACTTTCTTGCCCAGCTCCTCCCACTTGGCCCTGTGGCTGTTTTGATTGGCAGATGACTTCGGCTCGGCCCCCGCTTTAAAGGCACCTGTCTGTCTCCCATTAGGTACGCGGCCCCTAACGCCCACACTCCATGCCTTCCTCCGCTTTCCCCACCCACTTCCAGGACCAACCAATGACTTCAAGGCAGAATATGCCCCCGCAACCAATTAAAAAGAGCTCTAAACTTGACGGACGACTTCCCGCCCCTGGACTGTCGTAGCTCCTCCCCCAGACCAATTGTTTTAAGAGAGGGGGGCGGATACATCCAATCAGCACGACACAGGTCTCTTGATTGACGTTCGGGTCCTCGCGCTGGCGTGTTGTGCCCTGAGGCGGGAGGAGGAGGAGGAGCGGGGAGGAAAACCTGAGCCAATCCTAGCAGCCTGCGCGGGAGGCCAATCGAACGCCGCGCCTTGGAGCGATCACCCAATCCGCGAAAGGGGGCAGGGCGCATCCCTGCCAGGAACCAATAGAAAGCCTCCAAGGGTCAGGAGCGACGTTCAGCAGGAGCAATGACTGGCCTATATTCGGGACTCGGGGGCGGGTCGGCGCCAGAGACGAGAAGAGAGGAGGGGAGGCCTCCTCCGCCGCCGCCATCTTGGACCGGGCCCGGTCAGCTTCCGCGGAGCCATCGGCAGACGCCGCGGCCTCCCTTGAGCCCCGACCCCCGTCGTCAGAACAACCCCGGGCCCACTCCCCCAACCCCACTTCCGCTTCGCGCCGCTATCGCGATAGCGCCCGGGCCCGGGGCGCGAGAAAAAGGCGGCGGGCGCTCGCCTCCCCCGCCTGTCGCGATACGCTCCTCAGCGGCGGCGCCAGCTCCTGTGGTGAGAGCGTCAGGCTCGACTGGGCCGGACCCCTTCCCTTCCTCCCCCCGGCGCCATCGGCCGCCCTCCCCGCCGCCTCCCGCCCTGGCGACACCGCCGTCTGTCGCGACATGGCCTCCCCTCGCCTGCCCCCTGCCGCCGCCTCTGCAGCGCGGGGCTCCCGGCGGGGGGCGGCTCCCTCCCTCTCGCCCTCCCGTTCCTGCGCCTCTTTCACGTTCCTCAGCGCCTCCCGGGGGTCCTTCCGCGACCCGGACCCCGGGCCCCGCCCGCCGCCGCCTCCCCGCGTGGCATCGCGTCGGGCCCCCCGGTAGGGGTGTGAGGGTGCGAAGCCTCCCGGGCGCGAGGTGCCCGCCCCTCTCCGCGTCGGTATTGGCTCCTGGCTGGAAGGATGGAGGCGCCCCTGGTCCCAGGTGCCCGCCCTCTCGGGGCTCAGGTGCCTGCCCCCCTCGGCCTCGGTCCTTCGCGTTGTGGGGCAGCCTCCGCGCCGGGGCTTCTCCCTCGACGGTGGCGGGGAGGGGGGGTGGTGGTCGGGACGAGGACCCCAGCTGGGTGGGGGAGTCACCCTTCCCAGGACCGAGGCCGCCCTCCGCATCCCTCCTCACTGCTCCCGGGAGCGCAGCCTCCCCTGGATCTCAGGTTCCAGCTGCCCGTCTGTATCGGATGGGAGCCTCTTGGGAGAGGAGTGGAGGAGAAACTCCCCGTTAGTTGGAGCCTTTGCCGAAGTTTCCACCTCTGTAGTCTGCAGCTCTTCCCTCTCATAGCGAGTAGCGCCCTGGGTGGCTCCAGCCTCGCCATCCCGCTGCACTGGGCGCCTGCCTTTTTGGGGGAGTTTGGCTTTCCCCCACCTGGGGTACAGGACCGTCCTCAGTGTGGCCCACGTCTGGTCTCAGCTCTCACACTTCTTTGATCCTGGCGTCTGCCCCTGGCTTTGCAGCCTTGAACTCCCCTGCATCGTGACTCTCCGACCTTCTGGGTGTGGGCGTCTCCCAGTGATATCAGGACCACTGTGGTCTTGTTGCTGGGGGCTGCTGGGATCCCCTGGCGCTCAGGTGCCTGGTGAAAGACACTAAGCCGCCACGCTGTCCATGTTAGTGAGCTCCCACTGCGGGCAGCACCAGCCCCTCTTTCTGAGCAGTCCCTGCCTCTCAGTGCAGGGCGGCCACCCACCCCGGGGTGAGCTCTCCTGTCCTTTTGGTGAGGGGTTTTGATGTCTCCCCTCCCTCCCTTCACCCCTGCCTGAGTATGAGGCTTCTTCCATCTTCACACCAGTCTCCTCCTTTAGGGTGTCAGCTCTCCAAGGACCAAGAAGCCCACTGCCCTTGATATTTGCATCAGATCCCACACTGTGGGTTTGTTGACTTCCCATCTACCCTTACGCTGGGTGTCAGCAGTTGGAGAACAAGGGTTTCGCCTTCTGGCCCCGCTGCTGGTACCCCATGAGAGTAGGAAGCTTCCTAGACCCGGGTTCCTGTACTGCGAGGTGGGGGCTCTTCCCTCTGGGGCTGTGCCTTCTCTCCAGGGTAAGGACCCTTTCTTGGTGTCACCTCCCCCAGGGATAAGGTTCTTGCCATCCTTGGTATTGGTATGGCTGCTTTTCTGGATTTGAGGTGTCCACGCCTCTGCATGTGTCCCCACCGTAAGGCTGAGGACCCCTCTCGGATGCAGGTGCCCCCGGCTCATGCTTCCAAAACCCCCTCTTGATTTGTCACTGTATGGGGTAAGGCATAGTTTCCTGGCTGTGTGGATGTAAGATACCTGAGTCTCAAGCGGGAGACTCCACTGTAGACCCTGTCCCTGGGACCAGAGACTTCTCTGGTGTAGACTTTCCAAGGTGGGAGATTCCAGCCCCCCACCCTTGGCATGGGGCATCTCAGTGGAGATGACTACCTCTACCCCAGGCCCTAACGCATCCTTCTTCTGGAGTCTCAGAGCCTCTGTGTGGCCACGTCAGCAGCCACCTGGGTTAAGGATCACCCTTCAACATCACTTCTCAGAGCTCCTTGCTGCAGAGGCGGAAGCTCTCCCAGATCAAAGGTGCCTCATGACAAAGACCACTCTGTGGGCACATGACGGCCCCCAAGGTTAAGGACCACCCGGTGTTAGTTTCCCAGGGCTGACCTCCTGCCCCTCCCTCCTCGAGTCTTTGTGTGGTGGTATCATCTTCCCTGAGATGAAGTCTGGGGGGCTCTTCTTTACTGGTTTTGGCTCTGATTTTAGCGTGTTGGCTCCTGTGAGGCTGGTGTCCTGCTCACCTCCCCCCGCCCCGCCACCCGCCTTGTGGGTCCCTTCCCTGTGGGGATGTGTGTTCCTCTTGGGTAAGTCTCCTCCTGGGCCGAGGTTCCCAGATTCCTCAGTGCTCTTGGAGAGCCTTTGCTGCTGGAGCACAGGTTCTTCACGCCTGAGAGTGGACCTGCGATCACCACCTTCCTTGGAGGATCTTGGTGGATGCCCCCCTGACTACAGCAAATGGGGCTCTTTCTTCTCTGGCGGCGTCTCTGCTTCGAGACTCAGGCTCCAGCTTCCCTTCTCTCTGGTCCTTTGCTGGGGGGACCAGAGGTACAGATACCCTCATGATATAAGGATTTTCTTAGCGGGGAAGGTGTTGTCTCTACTGTGGCTAAGGCTCCAGCCTCTCTAGGGGACAAGTACCCTGGGCCTCTGGCACTTGCCCCTTCTCTGTGGAGGAGCTGCCTCCTCACTGGGTCTCAGCTGTAGCCGACTTCGATGTCACACTGTTCTGTCTGAAACATCACCTCCCTGGGTTAGCGCTCTTGTTCCCCTCCTTCTGGCTTGTGACCCCTCCAGGACTTCCTTCTCTTGCTGCCACAGTGTGGTCTCCTCTCTGTGGGTATTCTTCCTCTGCACTAGGATACCAGTCCTTTCCGTGTGGAGACACAGGGAGGGCGTCACCTGCCTAAGGTGTTGATTGCCTTGTTTAGGGGTGTAGACCATGAGACCTCTTCTCTCTCTGGGCTGGAGCACCTGCCCATGACCCTCTGTTGGGTTCTTGGGATGGAAAGAGGGAGTGTAAACTCTCGTTTCACATTCTTGTTCCCCCTATGCAGTAAGAGGCTTTTCTGTGTTGGGGTGTTGGACTTTGGTGAGGATCCCTGCACACCTGAGCTCTGGTGTCCAGGCCCTTGCCTTGTGTGAGCTCCCTGGGTCAAAGGGGCTTTCCCCTCCTCAGCCTGAATCCCCACTGTGGCACCTTCTCCTGGGTCCTTTTGTTGGTTGCTTTGCCTTCTTAGAGATTCCCCAGGTAGGGCGTGATAGCTGACCTGGGCGGGGGCTGCTGCGGCTTTCTTTAGGTTGGGCCTTTTACTGAGGAGATTTAAATTCCCTCAAGTGTAAGGTAGCACCCCTACCTATTATCACCCAGAATGGGTCCCTGCGGTGTTGGGAAAATTCTCCCTGGGGGTAAGGTACCAGCCCTGTCCTTTATGGGCTTCTTGTTCTAAAGCATATCCGTCCCATATGGTTGCTGCTAGTCACATGTGGTGATTAGTAACTAGTTAAAAATGAAAAATTCAGTTCCTCCATTACACTTGCCACATTTCAGATGTTCAGTGGCCAACAGATATGCGCAAATAGAGTGTTTCCAGCATTGCAAAGTTCTGTTGGATAGCACTGTTTGCCAGATGTTCCCTTCTTTGTGGGTGAGGACTCTTTTGGTGTGACTTCCCTCTGTATTGAGGCTCTTGTTCCTCAGTATGGGGCTGTTTCTGTCTTTACAGTAAGTGACTACTCCAGGGTTCCCTGCCCTGCACACGTAGAGTGGGAGCGGCCCGTGGATCCCAGGGAACTGTGCTTTTCATTGTAGGCCCCCTCCCTGGAGGGGAAGAGGGCAATCTCCGCTGGTATCTCAGAAGTCTTCTTCTGAGGCATAAGCCTCTCTTCCCAGGGCTCCCCTGGTCTCGCTGTCAGGCCCTAAGGTATGTCTTCCCTTGGACTAAAGCTCCTTGGAACTCCCTTTTGACCTCAGTCTTCTCTGGGTTCCAGGTAACTTCCTTTAAAATAAAGACGCTCCTCTCTTGAAGTTTTGGGTTCCTGCCCTGATGGTCTATGTCTCCCTGACTCTAAATTACCAATCCACTTGCTATGGGATTCCTCCATGAGTGCAGATCGGCTCCCTCACAGCTGCGGTACCTTTGCACCCTCTTATCTTAGTAAGATTTCTGTCTTCTCCCAGGTCTCTCTTGGGTACTGCCTTCTGCCCCCAAATCTCTAAGCCTTCTTGGTATTAGCTTCTTTGGGTTAGGAGTGTTATTTCCTTTTGGTTTAAGGATCCTGCTCTGGAATAAATGTCTTGGTGGTTTGAGTCCCTTCTACTTGGCATTCAGCCCTGTCTGCATGAGCGGGTTCAGCTCTTCACAGCTTTCGGCATCTCTGCTCGCCGTCGTTTTCCCCCACCCCCAATCTTTCTTCTCCTACCTACAGCTTACACACACACACACACACACACACACACACACACACACGCCCTTCTCTGTGAGCTGCCAGTTTCATTTGTCTCCTGACTTGTCTGAGGGATGACCTCTCCTAGCCACCTCTGCCCAGCCCCTCTGAGTAGGAAGTGTGATTTCCAGGGCTAATGCCTCCATCCCAGTCATCAGCTGTGTGCAGCATGACTGTCCTGCTCTGAAAAACCTTTTTGAGTGTATTCTGGGGAGAAGGTACTCCATGCTCTAGGAATTTTCCACTTCCTGAGTCAGAGGCACACAAAAAAGTATGTAACTTTTCTTGTTTCAACAAACTTATGGGGTCCCCTGTTGGCCAGACACTATGCTGGGCAGTCAAGCGAGCATCAGGAGAACTGGGGCTGGTCTCTTGTCAGATAGCAAATGCTTCTTCTCTTTACCAGTCCCACCTACCTCACTATGCTGACTAGGTCCATGTCTCTGGGTTTTTACCAGCCAGGGAATACGTGTTAATTCCTCTCCAATCTCTCCTAGCAGCGTCCGTCTCCAAGAGAGTATGAAGAGAGTGCGTCTGTAGGGCAGGGAAGATGGCGGACAAGCGCAAACTCCAAGGTACTAGACTGACTTCCTGCTGCACCTGTAGCCACATGCTCCCTCTTCTGAGGACTGCTCTTTAGATACCTGCCACCTGGGCAGGATTCTCACAGCCTTGTTCCTCCCTGGCCAGGTGAGATTGATCGCTGCCTCAAGAAGGTGTCCGAGGGCGTGGAGCAGTTTGAAGATATTTGGCAGAAGGTACAGGGGCTGAGACCCTAATAATCTGGGTCTTCAGAGAGGAGGGCACAGGAAGGCGGCTCAGGACCTCTGGGTGTTGACCAGCGGGAGGGGCTACATATGCAGATGCTGAGGACCTAAGAGAATCAGCTCTAAGATGGATTGGGGGTAGGGGTTGGGGGGGGTCCTCGAGTCCCTAGCATAAGGAAGAATCACTGGAGTGGGTACTGGGACATCCCCTCCCACACTGACTTCTCAATTCTCTCCATCCCTCAGCTCCACAATGCAGCCAACGCGAACCAGAAAGAAAAGTATGAGGCTGACCTAAAGAAGGAGATTAAGAAGCTACAAGTGAGGGGGCTGGGGGCCTGGACGCCTTTGTCCTGAGGGTAGAGGGAACTGGGAGAGTGGACTGCTGGGTCCCAGGGAGAAGGAGCTGTGGGCCCCAGTTCCTGGGTCCTGAGGTCTGACTTTCTTGCTTTTCCCATCTGCAGCGGCTGAGGGACCAAATCAAGACATGGGTAGCGTCCAACGAGATCAAGGACAAGAGGCAGCTTATAGACAACCGCAAGCTCATTGAGACGGTAGGAGCCCAGAGCCTGAGTCCCAGAGAGGTGGGAAGGTCACCAGATTCTTGAGATCCCAAGGGGCGGAGGCAGAGCGGCCAGACCCCAGAGGTCCTCAAGAGAAGTAAGGTTTCTGCACCTAAGGGAAGTGAAGAGGCAGCGGACTCAGAGCTCAGAAAGTAGGGTCACGAGGCTCAGGTCGGAGTGTCTGCTGGCCCTTAGTCAGCTCCTTTCCCACCTTTGAGAGCCCCCCTGCCAACTGCACTCTCTACAGCAAATGGAACGGTTCAAAGTTGTGGAACGAGAGACCAAAACCAAAGCTTACAGCAAAGAGGGCCTGGGCCTGGCCCAGAAGGTAGATCCTGCCCAGAAGGAGAAGGAAGAGGTTGGCCAGTGGCTCACGGTGAGTTGGGGTAGAGAAGAGGAGGTGAACTCTGAGGATCCTGAGCCCTGGGTGTAGGCGGAACCCTAGCTGATGGGCTTCCTCTTCCTCTCCCTCCCCTAGAATACCATCGACACGCTCAACATGCAGGTGGACCAGTTTGAGAGTGAAGTGGAGTCACTGTCAGTGCAGACACGCAAGAAGAAGGGCGACAAGGATGTGAGTGAGGGAGACCCGACACCTTTGGGATGGGGATGGGCATGGGAATGGGCTGGCCAGCAGGAGGCCAGTCATTTATGCTCCTGGGAGTTGGGGCCTGGATTCCTCAGGCGGACAGGGCCAACAGCCGGGATTAGGGATTTGAGAGACAGGATTGGGAGGGCTTAGCAGCTGCACGCGTGGGGCAGGAAGGAGGTCAGACAGAATCTCAGGGTCCCCTGGGTGTCTGGGTAGACCGTGGGGCCTTTGTGAAGAGGAGCGACTTGGGGGAAGGTGAGTGCAGGTTGAGCTTGGGCCACAGAGTAAAAGTGAGACCTGAAGGACACCCATGGCAAGAGGCCTCCTGGCACCCAGAGGGCCCTGGTCCTAGGGAGAGCACAGTGGGTAGAGACAAGGCAGAACATGGAGAAGGCAGAGAACCAGGCCTGAAGGAAGACAGGAGTCTGGGACAAAGCTGGATGTTGGGGTCCCAGGTTCTAAAATCCGGGATTGTGGGGTATGAGTTCAAAGGGATACAAACTGTACAGACTTGCTGAAACCAGAAAGACAGGGAGGGGAGAGCCGGGTCCTCAGGGAAGCTGTGGGTGGGAGAGGGTCAGGAAGTGGAAGATGACAGGGTTGGGTGTCAGACTCTGAGGGGTTTGGGAACCAGGGGCTTTCGGGGAGATGATGGGTCCTTGAACAGAGCAGAGATTTGGAACCAAGGCTAAGATGTTAAATCCTAAAGGGGCCTTGAGGGGAGGGCAGGAGCGAGGCTTAGGAATCTGGGCTCTCTCAGGGATAAATGGGTAGGGTTGGGGGCCTAGTGATGACAGATATCACAATTCTAAACAGCAAGCTCCTCACAAATGGGGGTTATCATTGTTACTGCTGGAGCAGGTCGGAGGGTATCTGTATGCCAGAGGCAGTCACAGTGGTGGGCGGGCTCAGTTGAGAAATCTGGGCTGTCAGGTGAGGTGCAGATGGAGGCCAAGTCGTGGGATGGCACAAGGACCTCTGGGTCTTTTAGAGGTTTCCAAGGACTCCTGGAGCCAGAAAGGTGTGGGGAGAGGAGGGAGCAGTGGGATCCCAAGATGTCAAGGCTAAGATTGGTCCCCACAGGGCTCAGAGGGTGGGTGGACCCCATACTGCCCCACCCCGAAGGGGATGGCGTGGAGGCTTTGGGTCTCCACAGGGGTCAGGGACTGAGGACAGGTTCTGTGGGGGCAGGAGGGGCCAAGCAGGTGCTCTGCAGCCCCTGAGCCTGGCCCTGGGCTCGCCAGCAGAAGCAGGACCGGATTGAGGGCTTGAAGCGGCACATCGAGAAGCACCGCTACCACGTGCGCATGCTAGAGACCATCCTGCGCATGCTGGACAATGACTCCATCCTCGTTGACGCCATCCGCAAGATCAAGGACGACGTTGAGTACTATGTTGACTCATCCCAGGACCCCGACTTCGAGGAGAACGAGTTTCTCTACGATGACCTGGACCTCGAGGACATTCGTGAGGCCCTGGGGCTGATCGTGGCACAGGAAGTGAGGGCCCAGAATGGGCTGTGTGAGCCAGCTAAGCATGCCCTTCTTCTGCCCCCACAGCACAGGCGCTGGTCGCCACCTCCCCTCCCAGCCACAGCCACATGGAGGATGAGATCTTCAACCAGTCCAGCAGCACGCCCACCTCAACCACCTCCAGCTCTCCCATCCCGCCCAGCCCAGCCAACTGTACCACGGTGAGGCCCCACGGGACACTAGTACCTTGTGTTTCCAGCAGGGCAGGACTCGAGGAGACAAATCTGGGTCACTCCAAAGTGGCTATGGGAGCGTAATTGAGGAAACACAGATCTAGGTATCCAGGGTCTAGGCTCTTGGAGCACACGCTAAGGTCCTATATCTGGGTCCCTAAAGGACATAAAGAGCAATAGGGTGCATCCCGCGCCAGTTTAGGTCCTGGATCTGGGAAGTGGGAGGGGCCGGTGCCTGGGCTGCCTGAGGAGGCTGGGTAGCTGGCCACCTTGGGCAGGGATCCAAGGGTTGGCTTCCCTGTGGAGAGCAGGTTCCCAGATCCTTAAGAGGCTGGTGGGTCAGTGCTGGCTCCCAGAAAACAAGAAGACTGGAGAGCCTGAATTGAGATGGTTTCTCCAGGCAGATTAAGGACAGCCATTTGACCAGCTCTGGGGCCGCAATGGCAGTCAATTGGGCCCAGGTCCCCGGGGCATTCAGAGATTGGCGGTTCTCCATCAGAGCCCCAGAGGTCACACAGGTTTCTATTCTGCCTCCCCTACCTCAGGAAAACTCTGAAGATGATAAGAAGAGGGGACGTTCCACAGACAGTGAAGTCAGCCAGGTGGGTGTGAGCCTGGACCGGGTGGGCACGCCATTCACTCCTCTGTTGCTTCCCAAAGGCATCTTGAGGCCTGAGCGCCGGCCACTGTGCTGGGCTGGTGGACACAGGTGGCTCAGAAATCAGTGCTGCCCTGAGGGCAGGTGGGCAGGGCAAGTGGACAGGTGACTGGTGCTGTGGTCAAGGGGGTAGCACACAGGTCACCCTTGGCCTGGCCAGGCAGTCAGGAGATGCTGCTGTGGAGTGCCCTGGGCTTCACAGTCAGGTGAGTTTGCCTGGCAGGGAGAGGTGGCAGCCAGTAACATGGGCAAGTTGTGACAGAAAGTTTGGAAGTGAGGAGAGATGAGTCTGGCCAGGTCTGCAGGGCCAGGGCCCAACTGTGAGCACAGGGACTGGGACTGTCAGGCTGAGGGGCTCAGGCTTTGTGGACCTGAGTGGCCTCCAGAGTCCAATAAGCCTAGGAAGCGATGGGGCCTTTGCTGTGCTGATAATACACACTGCAAATTTCTGAGAGGAGACGGTGGCGGGCAGTGCTTCTTCAACTCCTTTAACATCTCCCAGGACAGGAGCACGCTTTCGGAAACGCTGCTACAGAACAATGTTAGGCAGGAGCAGCATGGGCCTGAGGCCCCTCTGTGGGCTAACGGGATGGATGGTTCCAAGGGGACACCCTGAGTGGGCATTGAGGAGGCTGGTGTGGAGACTAAGGGGACCCGCAGGTAGTAGTGAGGGCGGGCAACAGGGCCAGGAGGTGATGAGGAGAGACACTGAGGCAGGTACTCCAGGGGCCAGGCTGGGCTCTGCCACCTTCCCAGGCCCCCACTGCCAAGCAGCGATGCCCAGGAGAGAAGTGGGTAGTCAGTCCTGTTGGGCGCTTGGTAAGCGCAAGGTGCCTGTGGGGTGGCTGGAAAGAAGCCCAGGAGGTGGTTAGGCTCAGCAGCCGGAGTGCTGTCCACAGATTGCCTGCGGTAGGGATACCATGAGCACATTTACCCTCCCACCACTTTCTGGAGTGCTGGTAACTTCCAGCCCTGTGAGTAGCTTCTGTGACCCTTCAGGTGACATTCAGAATTACTATCCAATTTCCAGCTGTTTTTCCTTCTACTCTTGGACATTAGGCGGCTCCAGCTAATCTCATATTGAGAACACTTAAGTGTTTCCCACTAGTCCTCTGGCTTCCAACAGATGGATCTTCTCTGGCTGACAACCTAAGTTGTGTGTCAGATCCCTGTGGGGGTGTCCATGGGGCGGTGTCCAGGCAGGACTTGGGAAGCTGGGCAGGCTGGAAATCAGTGTGAGTGTTTTAAGCATGAAGGTGATTGAAGCCATGAGGGTGAGTAAGGTCACCCAGGTCCCCAAGAGGGCAGGAGCAGGTGGGGGCAGCGAGGCCAGAGAGGAGGCTGCTGGGACAAAGATGGAGCCTGAGGTGGGGGTGGTGAGGGAGACCAGCTGGCCCACTGGGTCCTGACCCTCTGCTCTCTCCCACCCGCAGTCTCCAGCCAAAAACGGCTCCAAGCCTGTCCACAGCAACCAGCACCCTCAGTCCCCAGCTGTGCCGCCCACCTACCCCTCCGGCCCCCCGCCTGCTGCCTCTGCCTTGAGCACCACTCCTGGCAACAATGGGGTCCCCGCCCCCGCAGCACCCCCAAGTGCCCTGGGCCCCAAGGCCAGTCCAGCTCCCAGCCACAACTCGGGCACCCCTGCTCCCTATGCCCAGGCTGTGGCCCCACCAGCTCCCAGTGGGCCCAGCACGACCCAGCCCCGGCCCCCCAGCGTCCAGCCTAGCGGAGGCGGAGGCGGCGGCAGCGGAGGTGGAGGGAGCAGCAGCAGTAGTAACAGCAGTGCCGGTGGAGGGGCTGGCAAGCAGAATGGCGCCACCAGTGAGTGAGGAGGCAGCGGGGTGGGGGGCGTGGGCGGGGCTGGGCAGCAGGCAGCAGCCCTTTCCATTTACTCTTTGTTCCCAGGTTACAGCTCAGTTGTGGCAGACAGCCCGGCAGAGGTGGCTTTGAGCAGCAGTGGGGGCAACAATGCCAGCAGCCAGGCCTTGGGCCCCCCTTCCGGCCCCCACAACCCACCTCCCAGCACCTCGTGAGTGTCTCGGCCATCGGCAGGGTTGGGATGGCAGCCTTTTGAAACAGAGAGGCGCAGGCGCCTCACCCCCGCATCGGTGGGTTCTGAACCCCCCGCCCTTGCTGCTGGGAATGGCCAAGCGCTATCCTCCATCTCCCTCGGGTGTTACACCCCCACTTCTTTCCAGCAAGGAAACTACATCAGCCTCCCTGCTTTGCCCTTCAGAACATTCTAAAATACGTTCTCATCTAAGTGGAAGTTTTCTCAAGAGCCCCATACCCTTTCCTCCCCATTTCTGTTACCTGCCTGAGGCCAATTGACTGCCACCGGAGGGTCACTGTTTCACTTTTCAAAGTGAATTGTCCCGAAGTCCTTATTCCTCTGCAGCCACTCCTTCAAATCTTAGCTCAGACCATTCCACTGGGTCTGCCTGTTTCCCGAAGAATGCCCTAAGAAAGATCAGTGTGCACAAAGGAAAGGCCTGCTTCCTGCCCCCTCACCCCAGCTCCAGCTGGCCTGCCCAAGGGGGAGTGGGCCCTGTGAACACCTGCCCAGGGCAAGTGGTTTTGATCAGCCTGTGGCCTGGTGGAGCACCCGAGAATCCTCACCCCCACCCCCACAGCTCTGCTCTGCTGATGAGAAACCATTCCAAAGATTGGGCTCTGCCTTTGTTTGCCCAGAGAACCACTTCTTTCTCCCATCTGTCTGCCCTCACCTGCCCCTCTCAGATCCCATCTGATCTGTGCAGTCTCCCCTCTCTCCAGCCAGGCCTCTCTGCCCATCCCACCCTCAGGGACCCTCCTCTCAACCCCCTCTTCCATGCTCTCTCTCCAGGAAGGAACCCAGTGCGGCAGCCCCAACGGGGGCTGGGGGCGTGGCCCCAGGCTCAGGGAACAACTCAGGGGGACCCAGCCTCCTGGTGCCACTGCCTGTGAATCCTCCCAGCTCCCCAACGCCCAGCTTCAGTGATGCCAAGGCAGCCGGTGCCCTGCTCAATGGGCCTCCACAGTTCAGCACCGCCCCAGAAATCAAGGTGGGCTCCTCGGACATCCCCCGAGCCTCTGTGTCCTGACTCTGTTGTTTCTTTCCTCCAGGTCTCTAGCTGCACCCCCTGCCCCCACCCTCTTTCTGGATCTCTTTCTCTGGCTTTCTGTCCCCTTCTCACACTTGCTCTTTCTCCAGGTCTTTCTGTACCACCCTCCCCGTGACCTTGATCTCTGGGGGCTCTCATACCTCCTCTCTTGTTCCCTCCAAAGCTCTGTTTCTCTGGGTCTCTTTTCCTTTCTCTTGGTTGCACTTGTTGCTTGCTCTCTCTGGGTCTCCATCTTCATCCCCCCCGCAGGCCCTCAGTTTCTGTCCCCGTTTGTCCTCACAAGGCATAGACTGGTGTACTTTCTGCACAAGTAGAAAGACTGGTTGGGTGAATGCAGCCTGGTTCCACCCTTTAGGAAGCTTCCCTGCTGGGGCAGCTGCAGGGAAGGTTGCGGTGGGCCCACCGAGGGGCATCTGACCTGACCTGGGAGACAGGCCCAGGAAGGTCTGAGAGGGGGTGATGTTTAAGCTGAGACCTGGACCAGGCAGGGGGGCTAACAGCTGCAGGAAGGGCTTCAGGAGGTGCTTTAGGAGGAGCATGCATCTGCCTGTGTGCTTAGGAAGCTGGGCAGGATGCAGCAGAGAGGAGAGAGGTGTCCACTCTGCAGGAGACAGTGCCACCAGCTGCAGGGCTGAGATAGTGGGTGTAGCAGGATAGGACGGTGGGGTCCTGATCATCGAGGGTCAGGAGCTGGGGCTTGGCTTGTGAGCCAGTATACTGTAGCGCAGCTTCCATGGGGGGACCAGTGTGTATGCCCAGGCTGTCCAGGAGGCAGTGTGCGCGCCCAGGCTGTCCAGGAGGCAGTGTGCGCGCCCAGGCTGTCCAGGTCCAAGTCTTGGCATTGTCCTTTCTGTGCCTTCATCTGGGAAACGGCAATAGTCACGATTATACCTACTATGTAGGGTTATTTGGAAGACTAAATCATCCTCATAAAGCTCTTGGAACAGTTTCTGGCCCAACAGAAGCATTAATTTTTTTTTTTTTTCTTTTTTGAGACAGAGTCTTGCTCTGTCACCCAGGCTGGAGTGCAGTGGTGCAATCTCAGCTGAATGCAACATCCGCCTCCTGGGTTCAAGCGATTCTCCTGCCGCAGCCTACTGAGTAGCTGGGATTACAGGCGCCTGCCACCACGCCAGGCTAATTTTTATATTTTTAATAGAGATGGGGTTTTGCCATGTTGGTCAGGCAGGTCTTGAACTCCGAACCTCAGGTGATCCACCCACCTCGACCTCCCAAAGTGCTGGGATTACAGGTGTGAGCCACCGTGCCCGGCCCAAATTTTAGAAGTAGGTGGACAGGATATTTATAGTGCGTGCATTTTTCTGGAAAAAGGGAAACAGCAGCTTTGAGATTTTCAGAAGGGGTCCATATCTTTTAACACCACCAACAACAAAAATGAATCGCTGGGGTGGGTGGTCGGGAACCATGGCAAGGTTTGGAGTAGAGAAGGAACAACATGACTTCATTGGAAAGGTCCCCTGGGGCTGGTGAGGACAGGATAGAGGGAGGGTGGTCTGGGCAGGAGAGGACAGGCCTGGGCTGTGTGGGACATGGTGGCACGACAGGGAAGGGAGCCATCCAGTGGGGTTTAGAAGCAGGACGGATAGCTGGGCGTGGTGGCTCACACCTGTAATCCCAGCTCTTAGGGAGGCAGAGGCGGGAGGATAGCTTGAGCCCAGGAGTTTGAGACCTGCCTGGGCGATATAGCGAGACAGAATGGATAAGCCTTGGCGACTGACTCGTTGTGGAGAGTCCAGCACAGGGCTGGGGTTTGGGACAGCTGCACGTGGCTGGAGGAGATGGGAGGAACCAGCCCTGACTTTGGGGAACAGAAGCCTGCTGTAACCTTTGTAATAGGAAACGAGGCTGTGGCTGCGGGGCTGGAGACCCAACCTACCTGTTTCCAGCAAGGAGACTGAAGCCTAGCCGGGCTGGGCCCACCCCGATTCCAGTCACCCCATGCCAGTCACAGGCAGACAGCTGAGCATGTAGACCTCCTGCCTCCTTCAAGACAGGCGGGAGCTCTCCCAGCGTGTAGGTGTCCCTAGTGAAGGAGCGTGTACTATTGGCACATCCTTTGACAAAAATGGTAGCGCACTGTACATATTCTGCAGGTTGGCGTTTACTTCTGTAGTATGTCACGAACTTGTATTTTGAAAATCTCGGCGTAGTATTCCATGCTGCAGAGTCCCACTCACGAGACGTTCCTCTGCTGATGAATGCGTCGTGGTCTCCGATTGTTTCCCTACAGTTTGATGCTTTTACCTGTCATGGGTAGATTGTGGGGAGTGGGTCGTTGGCCCTCCACGGCCCCCAAACAGGGCAGGTGAGAGCATCTGGGGCCTGTGTCAGGCTGCACTTGCTCCTGCAGCCCAAGTGCTCAGGCCAGGCCTCTTGTTTCCTCCCCAGGCCCCTGAGCCTCTGAGCTCCTTGAAGTCCATGGCGGAACGGGCAGCCATCAGCTCTGGCATTGAGGACCCTGTGCCAACGCTGCACCTGACCGAGCGAGGTGAGGGACCCAGGATGGTGGGGAAGCAGCGGGCCAAAGAGGAGGGGCTGCCCCTGACCCATCCTCACCACTGAGGGGGCCGGACCCCCACCCTCCCCACAGACATCATCCTGAGCAGTACATCAGCACCTCCGGCCTCAGCCCAGCCGCCCCTGCAGCTGTCAGAGGTGAACATACCGCTGTCGCTGGGTGTCTGTCCACTGGGCCCTGTGCCCCTCACCAAGGAGCAGCTCTATCAGCAGGCCATGGAAGAGGCCGCCTGGCACCACATGCCTCACCCCTCTGACTCTGAGCGTATTCGGTGAGGGGCCACAGGGAAGGGGGATGGTCTGGGACTTGAGTCTTACGGAGGAGGCAGTGGCTGAACCTGTGAGGCTGTGGGTAGAGCACCAGGCCCCTGACTTGGGCTCTCCACTGAAGGTCAGCACCGCCCTGGGTCTTTCTGTACCACCTCCCCCCGCAGGGATGCATGTCTGAGCACCCTTTTGATCACGACAGGACTAGTAGGCAGCTGGCACTGACCTTCCTGTTGCTCTCACAGGCAGTACCTCCCCCGGAACCCCTGTCCGACGCCCCCCTACCACCACCAGATGCCACCCCCACACTCGGACACTGTGGAATTCTACCAGCGCCTGTCGACCGAGACACTCTTCTTCATCTTCTACTATCTGGAGGTACAGCAGGGCCCCCGGGGCAGCCTCGGGCCCCCCGGCTTCGCCGCCACCGCCGCCGTCCCCCCTCGGGCTGGAGGGGTGAGGTGGGTGCCCCACTGCGGCCACTGGGACCGCACCCCCTCCCTATTCCCACTCCTGGGCCCCTGCCCCAAATCCACCTGTCCCCGTCCCCGCCTTCCAGCCCAGAGATGTTAGAACTGCTTGGGTTGACAGCGAGGCTGGTCCACTGAGGCACACCTCAGCCCCGCTTCCAGTTGCCCACTGGCTCACCCGCGGCCCCTCCCCAGCCCTGCTCCAGCAGCCCCAGTCTAGGCCGACCCCACTCTGCTCATCGGCACATTCTCAGGCCTCCCTGGAGACCACTGGGGAGCTGTCCAGCCCCCTCCCAACCCCAGTGAGTCATGAGTGACCTCCACCCTCATCCCCACTTGGGAAATTTTCTAAATTGCCTCCTCTCTCAGCTCTCATCACACATTAGTTTTTCTTCCTTCTCAAAGCTTCTCTGAAAGCAATTTTCACCTCCTGTCTCATTTTCCTTCTCCTGATCAGCATTGGTATGTTCTGTGCCCCCAGCCCCATCTCCAAGAGGATTGTCCAGCCCAACTGTGGTCTGTGGCGGGGGCCGGGGTTCAGCCCTGATGTCCTGCCCCATTCCCCTGGCTCCCCACCCAGTTTGGGGGCCCCCTGATCCCCCTCTCCACTGTTCCTCCCCCAGGGCACTAAGGCACAGTATCTGGCAGCCAAGGCCCTAAAGAAGCAGTCATGGCGATTCCACACCAAGTACATGATGTGGTTCCAGAGGCACGAGGAGCCCAAGACCATCACTGACGAGTTTGAGCAGGTGAGGGCCCCGCCCCCTCTCTTCCCGCTGCTAGGGTTGGGGTAGAGTCCCCAGGCTCCAGGCAGCCCCTGCTGGCCTCTGCTCCCTTGCCTCCACCTTTCAGCTGGCGCAGTCCCTCAGCCTGACCAAGTACTCCTCCCTCTGGCTGTCTGCTCAGCCTGGAACACCGCCCTCTCATCCTCCACTTGGCCAGCTCCTAGGCCTCCTGTAGGTCTCAGCCCAAATGTCCCTTCCTCAAAGAAACCTTCCTGGAGCCACCCAGCCCAGTGCCTCCCCTTTGCAGTGCTGGGCACACTCGCTTGGGGTGTGGGATTTTCCCAGTATGTGTCCCTGCACCAGGCTGTGGGCTCTGCTGCCGAGGGACCTTGATGGCCCCCACTTCACCTCCAGGTCCCAGCACTCAGCAGGGCAGGGGCTCAGTGCCGAAACTATTTTTTTTGAATGGGCTTCTCAAGTTCTAATACTGGGAAATTCCTGCTGCTTGCAAACACTCTGGAACCAACCTACCTGGGTTTCAGCCCAGTGCAGCTGGGCGACTCTAGGCAAGTCACTCGAACCTCTGTGTCTCAATTAACTTATCTGTAAAAATGGGGGGAAGACCACCTACCTAATGCAGTTGTTATGAAGATTAAATGAGTTAATAACATGTAAGTACTTAATGGTGACTGCTACATAGTCAGTGTCATGGATTTTTTTTTTCAAATTACTTTCAGTTGGTGTGTTCTACAGTGATGTTTTTTTCCACCAAATACTTCCCTGATGCCGAGCCCCTTCATGGGGATGAAGTAGTACAAGGTCCTTGTCCTCAGAGAACTCAGTCCCCTCTCCTGGTTCTCCCAGGTTGCCATCTTTGAAGCACTTAAGACATTCATTTAGAACCTAGGTCCTCTCCCATTGTGTCCTCAGATGTTAACCACAGACTTCCTGTCCTTTCCTGGTTTGGCCCAAAACCATCCTCCAAGTTAGTACATTTCAGGGCATCCAGTCATTCAGAAATTCCCACACCACTTCGTCACCAATAAAATGTCCCTGCAGAGTGCTTGGATTTAGACTCTGAGACTGTTCCATTCTCTAGAACAAGGGTGACAGTACCCACTGCCTCGAGGTCTTTGTGAAGATTAAATGCTAGGCTGTGCATCCTGTACTCACGTGAGAGGTGCTCAAAAGCCACAGCCCTCGAGGAAACGAAGGCTGTGCACTCACACCTGGGGCTGGGGCCCCGTTCTGGCAGCTGGCTTCGGTGGAACCTCTGCGGCCCCCTCCGTTTCCTCCTCGCTGAAGTGGCATGATAACATTTCCTACCCAAGAAGAACCTTGTGAGGATGGATGAGAGTGTGTGCGTGCAGGGCAGCTGGCCCGGTGCCTGACACATCCACAGCCCTAAGAATTGTCCCCTTTGTCTGTTGGTCCGGCCCAGATCCCAGACCACCTCCTCGTCCACTCACTGACCGCCTTCTCCCCCGGCCAGGGCACCTACATCTACTTTGACTACGAGAAGTGGGGCCAGCGGAAGAAGGAAGGCTTCACCTTTGAGTACCGCTACCTGGAGGACCGGGACCTCCAGTGACACCGGCCCCTCCCTCTACCCACCCCCTTCCCCCGCATGCTGATCCCCCTGCCCAGGTGAGGGCCCTGCCCTGGAAGACTGGAGGGAGGCCCCAAGCCACGGGGCATCCCCCTCTCCCAGGAAGCAGGGAGGGGGCCGGGAGGTTTTCCTCTCAGCCCCACCCTGGGGGCCCGGGGGCGAGGGCTGCCCCCTCCTCCCCTCCCCAGTGAGGGACATTTTTTGGTAAACCTATTTTCATTTTGGAAAATATTTATGAATAAATAGTTTTATATGACGGCTGGCAGCAGCGGCCTCTCCTGTACCCCCTCAGGAGTCAGTGAGTAAGGTGAGGGTCCTGCTGGCGGGGGCGCCGGGCCAGCTGGGGGTTGAATTGGGAGTTGTACCGCCGCCGCCGGTCATCCGTCTCGTCTTCTTCCGGCTGACCCTCCTGTAGTGCCCGGCCTTGGACCCGGGCCAGCAGGGCCTCTGCCCGAGACCTCTCAGCTGCTTCCCTCCGCAGACGTTCAGCTCGAAGCTGGTCCAGGGATGGAGGCCTGTGGGGAGAGGAGTGAGGTCAGAAAGCTGGTAGCCCCTAGGAGGCCATTCCCCCAACCTCTCCCATAGAGGGAGCTGCCGCCTGGAAGCCCCGCTGCATCCAGCACACCCCAGCCTCAGCTCCTTAGGCCTGCTGGAAGCAGCCACTTGGTGCTGGGACGCCATGGGCACGTCTCTGGCCTTCCCTTCTGTGGGCTTTGGTCCTCCCCAGTCTTTAAAATCTGATGCTTCTCCAGGTCAAGAAAGCACACTTAGCAGCCCCCTGGCCCTCAGTTTCCCTTTCTAGAGGAAAGAAGACTACAGGCAGTGTACCCCCTCTAGACCAGGGGTGCAGCATCCTGGAGACAGAAGCCTGCTTTTACTCTCTAACCCAGCAGCTCTCAAACTCTTTGGTCTCAGGACCCCTTTATACTCTTAAAAACCAAGGACCCCAAGAGCTTTTGTTTAAATGGGTTCTCTTAATATGCTGCAAATCATTAGTGAAAACTAAGAAAGTCTGGACACAAGCATCTGCCATTGGCCATCAGAGTGAGGGTGTCTCCCCATCACACAGCCTCTGGAAACCTGCACTACATGCCTGAGAACACGAGTGGAAAAGTCCACCAGTGTCAGGAAAATAGGCTTGACACCACAGCACCCCGGGAAAGGGTGTCAGGACCCCTAGGGCTCCCTGGACCACATGCTGAGAACCACTTCTCCACCTAGCCAGCCCTTCACGGAGTCCCTGGCTGTCCTGACCAGAGACGCTGCAGTGCCCATGCTGGGCTGCTGCCAAGCCCTGAAGGTCTGGGCCCTGGTCTGCCGAGGTGGGGTCTTCTTACTCCTTGGGTCGCTGCTTCTCAGACCCCTCCTTTTCCTTTCTGCTGCGACTGCCTTCATCACCGCCGTGCTGTCTCTTCTTCCCCAGATGCTTCTGCATCTCCCGCAGAGGGTCCAGACGGCTCTTGATCTTCTCATCTGGGGCTGGGCCGGGCGGGGGGCCCCCTCGCCCTGGGGGTAGCTGGTACCAAGGGGGTTGAGTCTGTGCCTCCGCTGCACTCTGGCCCAGGTATGTCAGGATGCCCAGAGCTTTCTCTTGCCTCTCCTGAGGGGGCCAGGAAATACAAGAGATGTGATATAATCTTTCAAGGTGTCAGGTGTGTCTCCCTGACACAGGTATCTAAGCGAACAGGTATCTAAGGCTTGTTATGAACCAGTTGGACCAGGTGCTGGGGATGGAAGACAAACAGAGGCAAAGCTCCCCCTGGGGGGACAGTAGCAGGTACAGTAACAGCAGGGGAAGGAGGGGACAAGTGGAGCCACTTGAGTGTTCAGAGGCAGGCATCTTTGCAGAGAGACTTGAAGAGAAGCCTGAAGGGATCAAGCAAAGCAGAGGAGCGATGGGTGGGGTCAGCAAGTCCAGAGACAGCAGATAAATGACAAGAGCTGATGTACCTCTTTTTTTTGAGATGGAGTCTCGCTCTGTTGCCCAGACTCGAGTGCAGTGGCACGATCTCGGCTCACTGCAACCTCTGCTTCCCAGGTTCAAGCAATCCTCCTACCTCAGCCCCCCGAGTAGCTGGGATTACAGGCACACACCACCATGCCCAGCTAATTTTTGTATTTTTAGTAGAGACGGGGTTTTGCCATGTTTGGCCAGGCTGGTCTTGAACTTCTGACCTCAGGTGATCCACCCACGTTGGCCTCCCAAAGTGCTGGGATTACAGGCGTGAGCCACCATGCACAGCCACTGATGTACCTTTTACACTTGATCTTAGCCAAAAAGCAAGAGGCGATTGATTCACTTTTTGTTTGATTGTTTTGAGATGGGGTCTCGCTCTGTCACCCAGGCTGGAGTGCAGTGGCGCAATCTCGGCTTACTGCAGCTTCCACCTCCTGGGTCAAGCGATTCTCCTGCTTCAGCCTCCCTGGGATTACAGGCGCGCACCACCATGCCCGGCTAATTTTTTTTGTATTTTTAGAGATACCATGTTGACCAGGCTGGTCTTGAACTCCTGACCTCAGGTGATCCACCCGCCTCAGCCTCCCAAGGTGGTGGGATTACAGGCGTGAGCCACAGCCGGCTGATTTAAATTTTTAAAAGCCCATCAGGTTTGAGACTCCTCCAGTTTGGAGAACTGAGCGGTTTGCCCAGCAGCTGGGGACCTCTAGCATCTACCTCCAACCCCTGTGGGCGCCCAGACGGCAATAGCCAACGCTTTTTGAGTGTCATGCCTTGGTATGGTCCTAAATTCTGTGTGTTCACTCTTGTTTGACCTTGGTCACAACCAATGGCTAAAGTGCCCCCTCCCTCCAACTCGATTCATGGCCCCTCTGATGAAGTGGGTGAGGCCAGCTTACTTTCTCCTGTCGCTTTTCTTCCTCGTACTCTTTATTGCCTCTGATCACTCCTTTCCCTTCCTCCAGCAGCTCCCGAAACAGGTCCACAGGGCCAGAACCTGGGGCTCCCGCCTCTGCTGCTTCAAGCTCAGGCAGTGAGTTCTGATGTCTGGCTTTCTTCCGTAGGAATTCTGTACGGGCCTGGGGAGAAAGTTATAGGCAGGACATTCAGAACCTAGAGGTAATTCAAGAACTGTGAGTCTGGTGCCCACCACAGAAAATGGCAGTCCAGGGTGCTGGGGTTATGAGAAAGGGAGCACTAGGCGCCTAAAAGAGGCACCTGTCCTAGCTGGGGGTGAGGGTAGGCAGATGAGGCAACGCCTGGGTTTTGTAAACTCCCTTTCAAATAGTAAACCACGGGTCATCAAGGATGTATGGGAGGAGGTCCCTGGCCTAAACCAAAGGGGTTCCTAACCTCAAGTGAGACAATTAAAACAGCCATAAAGGTATGCATTAGGCCAGACGATCTGAATTCTAGCCATGGCTCCAAGTGACTACCCCAAGTCTGCTGAAGCCCTGTCCCCTGCCTTCAGGACGCGGATTTCAAACAGCGCTCAGCAGCCTACTGAGATTCTAAAAACCTAGACTACCTCCCACCCACGGCGGAGGATCAGACTAGCTAAGGAAATGAAAGTTGGGTGTACACCAAACAGATTTAAAGAGCCATACGGAAAGCCCGTGTTTGTGTGTATGTGTCTAGGGGGCGGTGCACGAAAGGGCTCGCCCGATGGCGTGGAGCCTGGCTGTCCGCCTCTCCTTAAAATGTGCCTTCCCCTCACTGAAGCCATCTCACTTCGTGCAACAGAGATGACAGTGCCCCTCTAAGAACGAACAGTGCTTATTGGGGATTCCGCAAGTCAGGTGCACGGCATGTAGTTAGCATACAGTAGATGCTCAATAAATAGGCTGTGCAGGCAAACTAAAAAGTGATCCGAATTTCCTTGAACTGTCCAAGGGTTCACGGATTCATTAAATGTTAAGCTTCTCTTTTGTGCTAGACACTGTTCCAGCCATGTGAAATACATCAGTGGGGGAAAAACTAAGACGAGGGCGAGATCAAGGAAGGTTTCGTGGAAGTGGGCACAAGGTTTGCGGGGCAACGTCCTCGAAAGTGGGATCGGCGCCTGGTCCCGAATTTCACACGGGGCACATTGAGCCTGCGCAACGCCTCCGCTTCCGGCCCCCAACCGCGGCGCCTGCGCGCTGGGCCCCGGAGCGCCGCCCTGCCGGCTTCCGAGCTTACCTCTTGCTGAGCCAGCAGCACCCTCCGCTCACGCTCCTTCTCCTCCTCCCGGGCCTGGGCCTCGTCACGCCGCACGCGGGCGACATTGTCCTTGTTCCGGACGTGCCAGCTCTTCTTGGGCAAGATATTCATGGCGTCGTAGCTGTCCAGGGACTGGCACGCCCGCCTCTTTGCACTTCCGATTGGCGAGAGGATGCCCCCCTTTTTCTTGTCCCTACTTCGACCGCGGATTGGTTCCGAATTAGTTGGTACGGCCCCCTGGCCTGTAGCGACAGGTGATTGGCTGAGACGCCCTTTATCACAGCGAATGCTAGGCGTTCGGCTCGTGGTATCCCCTAGCAACCGCCTCTTGTCACAGATCTGAACCAATCATAAGTTGGCCCGCCCCTGATGCTACCAGATGCGGCCGTCGATTGGCCGACATGACCGACAAGTCTCCTTGCGGAAGAGCGCTCTGCACCGACAAACATGCCCGTACATTTGATTGGCTCCTGCCCCGCTGTAGCCCTGCCCCCACCTTCAGGACGCAGATTTCAAAGCGCGCTCAGCAACCTCGGCTGTATTTATTGATACAAGGAAGATCACCCGAGAGTCAGGGACGTGGCGGCGAGGGGCCCTGGAAATCTCCAGATACCAAAGCTGGAAGGGCGTGGAGTCTTCTCCAGTTCTCCTAGTTTACAGATGTTGTGACCTAGGCTTACAATGGGCCTGGGGTCTGAAAGCGGGACGTGGGCTGCGGGGGTCAAAGAGCCGGTTTGGTGGAGGTCAGCGCCACAGCGCGCCGTGCCAGGAAGACTTTATTCTGCGCCTCCTGGGGCAAAGAGAGGTGGAGGTGAGACAATCCTCTTCCCCAACCCCTTTCCATGTTCCCCAGGGGCCCTCTCAGGGACCCGCCTGGCTCACCGTCTGTCTCTGACGTTTGAGCTCAGAGATGAGGCGTCCGTAGGAGTTAGCCAGAGCCACAGTGTACGCCATCAGGATGCTGAAGGAGACAGGAACGGAAGCCACTCCTGACACGCTCTTCCATTATATCCAAACGTCTGGCTCCTTCGAAGCCAGGGATGTGGACGCCTAAGCCCCTCCTCGTCTGGGCTCAAGGAGTTCAGTCTCCCAGCCCCTCCGCCTTCAGATCCAGGAGTCCTACGTCCCGCCCACCTCCTCCTTCGGACCCAGCAGTCCAGGAGCCTAGGCCTCCTCCCTCAGACTCAGTACGTTGCCTGCTCCCACGCCCAAGCCTCTCCTCTCTTGGACGCAGGTGGTGGCCCCCAGATCACACGCATTCAAACCCAGACCCAGAAGTCTGGGCCGTCTCACCTGGAGATCAGCAGAAGGGGCACAGCAAAAGCCTGGGTCCCCAGGAAGAAGAGGAAATTCTGGGTGGTCTCAGGGAGGCTGGAAATAGACTCAGGGATCTGGGCCCAGATGGACGACTGCCCCCGGAATGGACCACAAAGCTTAGAAGGCGGGATCCTGAAGTCAAGACAGGCTGGGCTCACATAGTGCCAGGAGTCTGAACACTGAATGGGGAGAGAGGGAGGGAGAGAGGCGGGAGCCTCTCGCACTTACAGGAAGATGCTGTAAAGCAGGGGAACGCTGGAGATGGCCAGACCCAGGAGAAGGACCAAGGGGAAAAAGAAATTCGCCGCGGAGGCCCGGAAGGTGCGGGCAGCCGGGGAGCAGGTGGAGAAGAGGGTAAGCTGGTGGGGGAAGGCACGGAGAAAAGGGCTCTGAAACACAAGAGTCTGTGCCTCCATTTTTTTTTTTTTTTTTTTTTGAGACAGAGTCTCGCTCTGTCGCCCAGGCTTTTTTTTTTGAGACAGAGTCTCGCTCTGTCGCCCAGGCTGGAGTGCAGTGGCTCTCACTGCAGCCTCCCCTCCCGGGTTCAAGCTATTCTCGTGTCTCAGCCTCCCGAGTAGCTGGGATTACAGGTGTGCACCACCACTCCCGGCTAATTTGTTTTGCTGTTGTTGTTGTTTGTTTGTTTTCTCTTTTTGAGACGGAGTCTCGCTCTGTCGCCCAGGCTGGAGTGCAGTGGCACGATCTTGGCTCACTTCGACCTTCACCTCCCTGGTTCAAGCAATTCCCCTGCCTCAGCCTCCTGAGTAGCTGGGATTACAGGCGCCTGCCACTAAGCCCGGCTAATTTTTTTTGTATTTTTAGTAGAGACGGGGTTTTGCCATGTTAGCCAGGCTGGTCTCAAACTCCTGACCTCAGGTGATCCACCCGCCTTAGTCTCCCGAAGTGCTGGGATTACAGGCGTGAGCCACTGCACCCGGCCTACCTGCCTCTCCTTTTTTCCGAACCAGGAGTCTGAGCCCCTTCCTCATCTAGGACCCCGGAGTCTGAGTCCCCAGATCCTCAGACATATAAGTCAGAATGCCCTAGACCCCTCCTCTCAGATGCAGTAGTCTGTCCTCCAACCCCCTCCTCTCTCAGGACCGAGTAATCCAGGCCCCCAGGATCTTCCTTGCCCTTGACCCAGGAGTGCGGGCCCCAATACCTCCTGCCTCAGACCCAAGGGTCCCCCCTACCCCTTACCTTCTTCAGGTAGAAAAGCAGCAGGAACTTGACCGTGTTAAGCAGGGGCAGTAAAGGGCAGAAAAAACTCCCCACCCAGACCACCGTCTGCGCGTAGATGAGCCCCAGCACCTCGTCGGGCACCTGGAACTCCTGGGTCCCCGCCAGACGACCCAGCGCCCCAGGACAGAGGCCACAGAGGAGCCTGAAGGACGGGGCGGGGCCGGGCCGGAGTCAGGGGAGCGGCGGCCTGGAGTTTCCACGCCTCCACCGCCCCGCCCGCCAATAGGAAGCATGCGTATTGGTGGGGGGGGGGGGGCGGGACTTTCAGGACTCCACGTGGAGGGGGTGTGTCCAGAGGGCGGGTCCTGAGGACTAGAAGGGACCCAGATGTCGCCGCCGTCGGGGCCAGAGGGAAGTAACCCACTAAAACAAGGGCGGGGAGCGGGGAGATCTGCGGACCTAGGGCAAGCAAAGGGAGCAGGCAGAGGCGGGAATGGTAAAAAGGTGCGCGGTGAAAAGAACAGCGCGATGGGGCAGGGCCTCGTCCTAGAGGGGCGGGGCCACAGCAAGGGGCGGGGCTCTCACTTTCTAGGAAACTGGATGAGCAGCGCGACTGCCAAGACAGTCAGCAGATCAAAGAGCAGAAGTTTGTACATTTCCTGGCCCAGGACAGTCTCCCAGCACTGAAGAAGGAAGAAATATATCAGAAAGAACTCGGGACCCGGGCACCTGGAGGCCCACGCGTCCGAGTCTCCACATCGCAAGCCTATGAGACCCTGTCAATACTTTCTCTGGGGGTCCTCGTTTTTCAAACTTTCATACCCTTGGGAGAGTGTTCCAGCACCCCAAGCTCCCCTCTCCGCCCAAACCAAGAGTCTGGACCCACCCAGCTCCATCTTTCCTTCAGGGACCCAAGAGTCCCACGCACACCCATGCCGTTCTCACCGGAAGTTGTTTGTAATTGTAGCCACAGGTTTTGCAGTCCTCAGCCTCGGAGTCGCCCCCACAAGTGATCTGATTCCAGAGAGAGAAGAGCAGGACCACCAGGGAGGCGAGGCGAAGAAACACGGTCCTGAAGGGGGGAAGGCAGAGAATGGGCCCTGACCCGGTACCCACCATGTGGCAGTTCCCTTCTCAGTGGAACGCGCCCGCATTCAACCCATCTCACAGATGAAGCTGAGGCCCAGTGACAGAATCAGGATTTCTTTCTTTCTTTCTTTCTTTTTTTTTTTTTTTTTGAGACAGGGTCTCACTCTGTCACCCGGACTGGAGTGCAGTGGCGCGATCTCAGCTCACTGCAACCTCCACCTCCCAGGCTCGAGCCATTCTCCTGCCTCAGCCTCCCGAGTAGCTGGGACTACAGAAGCCACTACCGCCGGGCTAATATTCGTATTTTTACTACAGACGGGGTTTCATCATGTTTGTCAGGCTGGTCTCGAACTCCTGACCTCAGCCTCGGCCTCCCAAAGTGCTGGGATTACAGGTGTGAGCCACTGCACCTGGCCAACAGAGTCAGGATTTGAATCCCTGGATTCGGTATCAGCAGGATTTCCGTGTCTTACCTGTCAGCGCCAACATCCCTCTGACCGCCCCCACCCTTCATCATTCCCAGCCATCCCCGTGAGGCTGGAACCTGAGCAGGATAAAAACGATCTGGCGACTCCGAGTGTAGCCCTCCAGTGGAGCAATGAGCTTGAACACGGGCGGCAGCACAAAATTGACCCCAGCGATGAAGATGGACGGAAGGTAATTCACCCCAAGCTTCAGCAGTGGCAACTCCTGGACAAGGGGCATCTCCTGGGAGCGGGATGGACCATGAGTAGAGGCTTGGGGTCCTGGAGGAGCCAAGCTTAAGGTCCTCCCCCCGGCCTCTTCTTCTTCTTCTTCTTTTTTTTTTTTTTTTGAGACAGAGTCTCGCTCTGTTGCCCAGCCTAGAATGCAGCGGTGCGATCTCGGCTCGCTGCAACCTCTGCCTCCCGGGTTCAAGTGATTCTCCTGCCTCAGCCTCCTGAGTAGCTGGGATTACAGGCGCCCACCACCACGCCCGTCTAATTTTTGTATTTTTAGTAGAGACTGTTTTTCACCATGTTGGTCAGGCTGGTCTGGAACTCCTGACATCGTGATCCGCCCGCCTCAGCCTCCCAAAGTGCTGGGATTACAGGTGTAAGCCACCGCGCCCAGCCTCTCTTTTTCCTTTAAAATCCCTAAGTCCAGGGTCCGAACATACCCTCTCCCATACTTCCTCTCTAAGATCTCTGGCATCCCAAACTTCCGTCCCCTCCCTCCACCGTTGGAAATGTAGGTTCCAGGACCCCCTGGCTTCCTCTTCCAAGACCGTCCGCACCTGCAGCTCCACGGTGCACCCCGTAGCCCAGTAGACGCCATAGAAGGCTGCCCCCAGGAGCGCGACCACCAGCAGGTTGAGCAGCACCCGCACCAACCAAACCCTGGCTTGCTGGCCCAGCGTCCGCACCGCAGCCTGGCGCCGCACCACTGTCTCCTCCAGCTCCACCTGAAGGCAGGAGAGATGCCCGCTTGGACTCCATTTCCCAAGGCGCGGGCCTCCCGGTTCCCCAGGTCTGGCTCTCCAGAGATCCTCCTTAACGTGAACTGATGCAGCCGTCTCCCCACCCGCTAACAACCTCTGCAGTCCTGGTTCCACCCGCTCCAGGAAACCAGCGGCCCTTTACAGCCCCGCCCCTTCGCGGCCGGATCCAGCAAGCCAAGCCCCCATCCCTCCGCGGTCAATCTCAGCACCCCAGGCCCCGCCCCTGAGGCTCCGCCCAGCATCCCAAGACCCGCCCCTGGTCAGCCCTGCCCATCAGAGGCTCCGCCCCCAGGTGGCCCTGCGCTTTATTCCTGGCCTGAAGTTCCAGTTCAGCTGTATCAAGACGCCCTGCTGGCCGCTCCCATCACTTAACTTTGAACCAAATTGCCTTAGGCCCCGCCCGCTTCTTGTGCTTACTTAAAAAAAAACAAACTTTTTTTTTTTTTTTTTTGGTAGAGAGGGAGCCTCCCTATGTTGCCCAGGCTGGTCTCGAACTCCTAGACTGAAGCGATCCACCTGTCTCGGTCTCCCAAAGTGCTGGGGTTACAAGCATTAGCCACCGATCCCAGCCCTGGCGCATCCTTTTCCTACACGCTTGGAGCTCGGGCAGCCCTATCTCGGCCTCCTCTCAACCTTCTCATTCCCCAGGACCTGCCTTTCTTGGAGAAGGAGCTGCTTAGCATCTCTCCGGAGGCCCCATCACCGAGTTAGGCCCTGTGCGTTATCTCAGCCCGGTCCTGTCTGGTCCCTACCCAGTTGCAGACCCCGCTCCCTAATCGCACCTTTAATTCGTACAAGATGATGCGCTGGCGCAGCCGCACGTGGACGTCCCCGCAGAGACCGAAGTCCCAGGCCGAGAACACCCGGTGGCTGTAGCTGGTCAGAGCCTCGGACTCCGCCAGCAGTGTCTGCTTCAGCCCAGACACCGAGCTGAGAGGGGAGACCCGGGAGACGGGAAGTGAAAGGACAGCCAGGAACGGGGGTTATGGGGAGACCCCTCATATTGGGACAAATGGGGAAGATGAACCCTAAGGCCTTGGGTACTAGGCGAGTTCCCACCAGACCAGATGGGGAAAGAGTCAAAGAGGCGGAGACACAGTCATTGAAGGCAAAGTCCAAGGGAGATTCAGAGACAGTTCTGGGGTGCAGGCACCCCAAAGAGAGGCAGAAACCTAGGAGACAGGGACAGAGCCTCGGAGCGAAGGGGGCAGAAACCCAGAGTGAGAGAAACAGAGGCCCTGAGGAAGACAGAGATGTGGAGGAGGGACAGAGGCCCCAGAGGGAGATTCGGAGAAAGGGAGAAAAAGACAGTGAGAAAGGGGAAACTACATCTACAAAAGATGGGGGTCAAAGACCCATAAGAAGTACAGGCACACAGAGAAGGGAGCTGCGGCGGGAAGAGCCGAGAAGAAGACAGAGACCCAGAGAAGATGGCAGGTAAAGACTCAAGAGAGGGGGCAGGCCAGGCGCCATGGCTCACGCCTGTAATCCCAGCACTTTGGGAGGCCGAGGGGGGAGGATCACCTGAGGTCAGGAGTTTGAGACCAGCCTGGCCAATGTGGTGAAACCCCGTCTCTACTAAAAATACAAAAATTAGCCAGGCGTGGTGGTGCATGCCTGTAATCCCAACTACTTGGGAGGCTGAGGTGGGAGGATCACTTGAACCCAGGAGGTGGAGGTCGCCTCCAAAAAAAAAAAAAAAAACAAAAGACCCAGAGAAGACGGGCAGGTAAAGAGACTCAAGAGAGGGGGGCAAAGACCCAGGAAGGAGATAGAGAACCCCAGCAGGGGCAGAAACAGAACTGGACAAAGAGACCATGTGCACCTTCACTGCCCTGGCCCCGGCCCCCATCATCTCTCATGTGAACAACCACAGAGGGCCCTCACATGGTCTCCTTGCTTCCACTTGTGCCCGCATATAATCCATTCTCAGTTCTTGAGCCAGTGGGACCTTCTTTTGATGCAACTCAGACCGTATTCCCCTGTTTAAGACCTATTCCAGGGCTTTTCCCTTCTCTTAAAATCGAGGCTCTTTGCCGGGCGTGGTGGCTCACGCCTGTAATCCCAGCACTTTGGGAGACCGAGGCGGGTGCATCACCTGAGGTCAGGAGTTCGAGACCAGCCTGACAAACATGGTGAAACCCCATTTCTACTAAAAATACAAAATTAGCCGGGCATGGTGGCACATGCCTGTAATCCCAGCTACTTGGGAGGTTGAGGCAGGAAAATTGCTTGAACCCGGGCGGCGGAGGTTGCAGTGAGCTGAGATCGCACTACTGCACTCTAGCCTGGGTGACAGAGCGAGACTCCGTCTCAAAAAAAAAAAAAAGTTGACTTTTGGCCAGGCACATTGGCTCATGCCTGTAATTCCAGCACCTTGGGAGGCTGAGGTGAGCAGATCTCTTGAGCCTAGGAGTTTGAGCGCAGCCTGGGCAACATAGCAAGACCCTGTCTCTATAACATTAAAAAAAAATTTTTAGCAAGACATGGTGGTGCACCCCTGTGGTCCCAGCTGCTCCCGAGGCTGAGGTAGGCGGATCAGTTGAGTTCCGGAGGCCCAGGCTTCCGGTGAGCTATGATTGCACCACTGCACGCTAGCCGGGTGACAGAGTGAGACCCTGTCTCAAAAAACAAAACAGACTGGGTGCGGTGGCTCACACCTGTAATCCCAGCACTTTGGGAGGCCGAGGCAGGTGGATCACCTGAGATCAGGAGTTCGAGACCAGCCTGGCCAACATGGCGATACCCCGTCTCTACTAAAAATACAAAAAATTAGCTGGGCGTGGTGGCCGGAGCCTGTAAACCCAGCTACTTGGGAGGGTGAGGCAGTAGAATCGCTTGAACCCGGGAGGTGGAGGTTGCAGTGAGCCAAGATCGTGCCATTGCACTCCAGCCTGGGCGACAGAGTAAGACTCTGTCTCAAAAACAAACAAACAAAACAAATGAAAAACAAAAACAAATCCCAAAACCTTGATCTTTTTTTTTTTTTTAGATGGAGTTTCTCTCTGTCGCCCAGGCTGGAGTGCAGTGGCGCAAACTCGGCTCACTGCAAGCTCCGCCTCCTGGGCCACCGCTCCTGGCCCAAAACCTTGATTTTAACTCACACAGAATAAAGGGTTACACAGCAAGACCGAGGATTCTGGGGCCGGGCGCGGTGGCTCACGCCTGTAATCCCAGCACTGTGGGAGGCCGAGGCGGGTGGATCACGAGGTCAGCAGTTCAAGACCAGCCTGACCAACATGGTGAAACCCCATCTCTACTAAAAATACAAAAAAGTTAGCTGGGCGTGGTGGCGGGCCCCTGTAATCCCAGCAACTTGGGAGGCTGAGGCAGGAGAATCGCTTGAAACCGGAAGGCGGAGGTTGCAGTGAGCCGAGATTGCGCCACTACACTCTAGCCTGGGCAATAAGAGCAAAACTCCGTCTCAAAAAAAAAAAGACTGAGGATTCTTGGGGAGGGGGTTTCTGCCACCACCACTTGCTCCCCCACCCCAACCCGTCCCGTCAGGGGTCAGGGGTGCAGGTGCCACTGACCGATGCAGGATGAGCAGGAGGCAGATGAGGCCAACGGCAAAGGCCCAGCACAGGTAGGTGACCGCCAGGCGTGGGCGGGGCGGGTAGAAGCCATAGAAGAGAGGGGACCATTCCAGGTAACCCTGTGGGGGGAAGGCGGCGCAGGGGCCACTGTGGGAGGAGGCGGGGCTCCTGGAGCTGCACAGTCAGGGTCTGGGGTCAGGGTTTGAGGTTCGTGTCATTGAAGGCACTGGGGTCACAGGTGGGCGGGGAATCCCCCAGGGACCCAGGCACCTACCTCACCCGAGAGCAAGTTGAAGAGCTGGGTGGCAAAGGTGACCAGGCCCTGGGAGTGGGGGTTATAGGAGCCGCAGGGCGAGGAGATGTCGGGGCCGGGAGGGCCTGGGGGAGCGCCTCCCAACCAGGTGGGCAGCAGCGTCATGCAGGCCATGAGCACAGAGGCCAGCACGTTAAGAAGGAGCAGGAAGCGCAGCAGGGAGAAGTAGGACTCCGTGCCGGCGCCAAACTGGCCTGCAGGGGGCAGCAGAGAGAGGCTCAGGTTCCTTCCCGGGAGCAGGACCAGCTCCTCCTACCCCTGGACTGGGGTCCAGCCGCGCCTTCCTTTCTTTCTTTCTTTTCTTTCTTTTCTTTCTTTCTTTCTTTCTTTTCTTTCTTTCTTTCTTTCTTTCTTTCTTTCTTTCTTTCTTTCTTTCTTTCTTTCTTTCTTTTCTTTCTTTCTTTCTTTTTCTTTTCCTTCCTTCCTTCCTTCCTTCCTTCCTTCCTTCCTTCCTTCCTTCCTTCCTTTCTTTCTCTCTCTCTCTCTCTCTCTCTATATATATATTTTTCTTTTCTTTTCTTTTCTTTTTTTTTTTTTGAGACGGAGTTTCGCTCTGCCGCCCAGCATGGAGTGCAGTGGCGCGATCTCGGCTCACTGCAACCTCCGCCTCCTGGGTTCAAGCAATTCTCCTGTCTCAGCCTCACGAGTAGCTGGGATTACAGGCGTGCGCCACCATGCTCAGCTAGTTTTTGTATTTTTGGTAGAGACGGGGGTTTCACCATGTTGGTCAGGCTGGTCTCGAATTCTTGACCTCAGGTGATCCACCCACCTCGGCCTCCCAAACTGTTGGGATTACAGGCGTGAGCCACCGCGCCAGGCCCAGCCGTGCCTTTCTCAGACCCAAGAGTCCAGACCCCCAGCCCCTCCTCCCTCAGACCCAAAAATCCAGGCCCAAGCCCCTCCTCCCTCAAACCCAGGAGTCCGTCCCCAGCCCCTCCTCCCTCAGACCCAGGAGTCCAGGCCCTGCCCCCAGGACACCACCCAAACCCCACCGCACCCCCGATCCTCTTCAGTGTCCACGCCCAGGGCTGCAGGCTTCGCAAGCCTTCCTTTGTTTTCTCCTTGGACCTCCGAAGTAGCCGCGCCCATCGGTCCGTCTTAGTTCCAGAGCCATAGACCACCTGGTCCCTGCTGGCATTTCTTTGCCTGGGAGGGAAACAGGCAGAAAATGAGGGGTTTCGCAGCCCCAGACTGGGAACCATCTGAATGTAGACACAATCCAACAGTAGAATGGAGAAGTAAATTGTGGCCTATACATAAGATAGAATACTCTGTAGCAATAAAAAAGAAACCAGCTGGGTACAGTGGCTCAGGCCTGTAATCCCAGCACTTTGGGAGGCCGAGGTGGGTGAATCACCTGAGGTCAGGAGTTCGAGACCAGCCTGACCAACATGGTGAAATCCTGTCTCTACTAAAAATACCAAAAAAAAAAAAAAATTAGCTGGGCCTGGTGGCGGGTGCCTGTAATCCCAGCTACACGAGAGGCTGAGGCAGGAAAATTGCTTGAACCTGGGAGGTGGAGGTTGCAGTGAGCTGAGATGGCGCCATTGCATTCCAGCCTGGGTGACGGAGTGAGATTCCAAGAAAGGAAAGAAAGAAAGAAAAGAAAGAAACCTAATGCTAGGCAGAAGAAGCCAGCACAAAAGACTGAAGACTGTATGATTCTATTTGCACAACGTTGCAGAGCACAGCTTGCAAAGCTCTACAGAAAAGCAGGAGGCTGGAGTGGGAGGATCGCTTGAGCCCAGGTGTCGGAGGCTGCAGTGAGCTGAGACTGCACCACTGCACTCCAGCCTGGGCATCAGAGCAAGACTCTGTCAAAAAAAAAAAAAAAGGTTAGGGAGAAGAGGTTACCTTGTATTTGTGAGGAAAAAGGGGGTGTCAGGGGAGGGACGCACAGGGTGCTGTCATGCCGTGTCACTTGCCCTAGCTGGAGTTTATCTGGGCTCTCACTTTATGAATACAGCCATCCCTCAGTATCCATGGGGGTTGGTTCAAGGACTCCCCAAGAATACTGAAATCTGTAGATGCCCAAATTCCTTATATAAAACGGTATAGTATTTGCATACAGGCTACACACATCCTCCTGTGTTTATTTTATTTTATTTTAATTTTTATCTGATTTTTACAGACAAATGTCTCGTTTTGTTGTCCAGGCTGGAGTGCAGTGGTGCAATCATAGCTCAATGCAGCCTCAAACTTCCAGGCTCAAGCAATTCTCCCACCTCAGCCTCCCAAAGCGCTGGGGCTACAGGTATGGGCCACGACACCCAGCCCTCCAATGCACTTTAAATCACCTCTAGATTACTTATAACACCCGGTACAAGGTAAATGTTATATAGATAGCTGTTCTTTTAACTTGTATTATTTTTTGTCATATTGTTACTTTGATTATTACTTTTAAAAAATAGAGATGGGGGTCTCGCTATGTTACTCAGGCCGCAGTATAGTGGCTATATTCACAGGCATGATCCCACTACTGATCGGTGTGGGAGTGTTGATACATTGTTATTTTTTATTGTTTTTTCCATATATATACACATATATATACATATATATGTGTATATATATACACACATATGCATATATATACGCATATATATTTGAGATGGAGTCCCGCTCTATCACCCAGGCCGGAGTCCAATGGCACGATCTTGGCTCACTGCAACCTCTATCTCCCTGGTTCAAGCGATTCTCCTGCTTCAGCCTCCCGAGTAGCTGGGATTACAGGCACCCGCCACCACACCCAGCTAATGTTTGTATTTTTAGTAGAGTTGGGGTTTTGCCATGTTGGCCAGGCTGGTCTCGAACTCCTGACCACAGGTGATCCACTCGCCTGGGCCTCCCAAAGTGCTGGGATTACAGGTGTGAGCCACTGCAATGGGCCCATAATCATTTTTGAAGGAGGGCACCTGCATTTTCATTGTTCACCAGGCCCTGCAAATTATGCAGTGAGAATGGGAAAAGAAAGAAGTTAAAGAGAGGGAGGCTTGGAAGAGGAGGCAAAGATGAAGGAAGGTATAAAGCAGAGAGAAATAAATATTAACAGATTTTGGACACACACACAGAGAGAAACTGAGGCAGAGACAGGATTGGTGGAGACCAGGGAGACGGCAAATCCCAGAGAGAAGAGACCCCAGAGCCATCGAAAGGCAGCACTCACCTGGAGTCCGAAGTAGAGACAAAGATGAGGGGAAGAAAGAAACCAAGAGAGGCAGCTCTGAGCGGGGCAGAGAGAGGCCCCAGAAGCCAGGAGCGGCAGAGGACAGAGGGAGGAGACCGAGTCCAGGGTATGGGAGAAGGGCCCGGTCCGGGCTGTGCGGGTCCCAGCTGGAGGTGGGGCCTCACCTGTATGCCCGTCTGGCCTGCATGGGCCAGGGCAGTTCCCGGGAAGGGTGAGGGTCCTGCAGCTCTGTCTGGGTGACTTCTGTGAAGGCCTTTCTGCTCCTTCCTCCATCCTCCTCCTCCTCCTCCAGCGCCCCCCAAGGCAGCACCCCAGGGTCTCGGTACCGAAGGGTGGCAGCACTGGGCAGCTCGTTCAGCACAGAAGACAGCGATGGGCCTGGGGAGGAGCAGGGGGCTGGGAAGACCCGGGAGTCTGGGCCCTAATTCCTCCTCCCTCAGACCAGGAAACCAGGTCCCCGGCCCCTCCTCCCTCAGACCCAGGAGTCCAGGCCCCCGGCTCCTCCTCCCTCAGACCCAGGAGTCCAGGCCCCCGGCTCCTCCTCCCTCAGACCCAGGAGTCCAGGCCCCCGGCTCCTCCTCCCTCAGACCCAGGAGTCCAGGCCCCCGGCTCCTCCTCCCTCAGACCCAGGAGTCCAGGCCCCCGGCTCCTCCTCCCTCAGACCCAGGAGAACAGGCCCCCGGCCCCTCCTCCCTCAGACCCAGGAGTCCAGGCCCCCGGCTCCTCCTCCCTCAGACCCAGGAGAACAGGCCCCCGGCCCCTCCTCCCTCAGACCCAGGAGTCCAGGCCCCCGGCTCCTCCTCCCTCAGACATAGGAATCCAGGCACCCAGCCCCTCCTCCCTCAGACCAGGAAACCAGGTTCCCAGCCCCTCCTCCCTCAGGCCCAGGAGTCCGGGTGCCAGCCTCTACTTCCCCTGGACCCAGGGGTCCACAGCCCTCAACTCCATCCCCAAGCGTGGAACCCTCCTACTCCAGGGCAGTGGAGTCCAGGCTTTAACTTCCTTTTCCCTCTAGCTCAGGAGTGTGGGAACCCAGCCTCTCCTATTCCCAAGACACCCAAACTCCCAGCCCTTAGCCCTCCCCTCCTCCCAGACTAGCCTGGTTCTCCAGGCTCCTCCTCCTCAGACCCTGGAGTTCCAGCCTCCAGTTCCCTTCTCCCCCATAATATCAGGAAGTGGAACCTTCTCTCTTTAGCCCTCAGACTCAGGAGGCCAGGCCTCCCCTTTCCTCCTCCAGCAGGACTCCCACCTAGCCTGAAGGTCGGATGGATCTGAGCTTCTCCTGGCATTCCCTACCTCCTCTGGCCTCCCGGGGGGCCAGCCACTCCCTAGAGGAGCCCCAGGCTTCTGATTCCAAGGTCGGGTTTTCTTCCATGGCCCCAGGCTGGGCTGTCTCTAGTGGCCACCAGGCAGACACTGCCCCAGGTAAGGGAGGGGCCAGGGGCAGGTGTGTACCTGGCCAGCAGGTGGCCCGGAGGGAGTAAGGTACACTTCCTGTGGTTTCTCAGGGCCGCTGATGCGAAAGGTCTCCTGGGAGCTGAAGTCCCCGTGGTGCCCCGGGCCTCACAGTTTGGTTCCTGGGCTGGGCGGGGGGGCTGTACCTCACCCTGGGACTTGGTGGACTAAGTCCTTCCCACCGTTTATCACCCAGATACCTGCACGGACACGATGCCTTTGTGCAACACTTTATTGGGAAAGATTTACACACGGTGACCTGTCATAGGCCAAGCTATGAGAAGAGGGCGCCAGGAGTGCTGGGGTCCCGAGGTGGCTCAGATGGAAGCCATGGGACGGCCGTCCCCAGGCCCGCGCACCCGCACCTCAGTTTCCCCTTTGTGAAATGGGAAGCTTATGCTTCCTTCCAAGTCTGCAATATTGGTGCGATGAGCTAAAAGTGGAGCGAAAGACACAAGGAAGAGGCTTCCCACTCCCAGGACCTGCCCCCAAGCTCCGACCCCACATTGTGGATGCAAAGAAAGGGAATTTGCCCAAAACCCACTGCCCAGGGGCCCCTTCCGTTTTGGGGAAGTGCAGTGCTCTCTGGATACCCAGAAGCTGGAGCAGGGGCCAGTGACTCTTGTCTGGACAATACTTTGATTTTGTAGGAGTGGAGGTGGCCTCTGGGCAGAGGGCAGGGAGGACACCCCCGGGTCTGCTTCAGTTGCAGGCAGGGTATTTAGCTGGGGAAGAGGAAATTCTCTCCAGGACCCTCTCCAAGGTAAGGACTCTTTCTGGGGAGGAGACAGCAGCCTGGTTCACAGAATTCCCGGGACCAGCTGGCAGAGGGAGCGTCGTGACAGCTTACTCCTCCCGGAGCTTCTCCGGGGCAAGGCTGGTGGGCTGGGATGCTGCCTTCCGCCGGCTGGGGCTGCCCCCACCTAAAGCCAGCCCCAGCCCCAGGGCTGCCAGGGCCAGGAAGTGGATACAGAAGTAGATGGAGGCCCAGTACCGAAGGGTGTCAGCCAAGGAGAGCAGCACGAAGCCCATGCACATGTAGTCATAGGCGCGCATCTTCAGGAACCAGTGCACCCAGTCCCAGGCCTTCTGGCCCCCTGGGCTCAGCCGCCCCCGCAGGGCTGACTCCAGCCGGCCCTCGGCAGCCAGGCACAGCGGGATGGTCAGGAAGCTCAGGTAGTAGCCCGGGTGGAGGCCGTGCCAGTAGGCGCTCAGCAGCATGGTCCAGGCGCTCCTGAGGAGGAGGCTGGGAGTCAGGACCTACGAGTCCAGGTCCCCAGTGCCCACTGCCCCCAGATCCAGGAGTCCAGGACCCCAGCCCCTCCTCCCTCAGACCGAGAAGTGCAGGCCCAGCCCCTCCTCCCTCAGACCCAGGAGTCCAGACCCCACCCCTTCCTCCCTCAGACCCAGGAGATCAGGCCCCAGTCCCTCCTCCCTCAGACCCAGGAGACCAGACCCCACCTCCCTCCTCCCTCAGATCCAGGAGTCCAGACCCCACTTCCCTCCTCCCTCAGATCCAGGAGACCAGACCCCACCTCCCTCCTCCCTCAGATCCAGGAGACCAGGCCCCAGGCCCTCCCCACTCAGACCCATGACCCTAGCTCCGGAAGGCGGAGGAGGCTACAGGCCTCTGTCTCCTTCAGGGATCCAGGAGCTCGCAGCCTTCCATACACACTCAGTCCTATCAAGACCCTCTTCTTCTTTAAAGATTTAACATTTTATATTCCACTGCCCTTCCTCTCCCAGGACCAACAAGTCTTAATTCTTCAGCCCAGTGGTTTTTTTTTTTTTTTTTTTGAGACAGAGTCTCGCTCTGTCGCCCAGGCTAGAGTGCAGTGGCGCGATCTTGGCTCACTGCAAGCTCCGCCTCCCAGGTTCACGCCATTCTCCTGCCTCAGCCTCCCGAGTAGCTGGGACTACAGGCGCCCGCCACCACGCCCGGCTAATTTTCTTTTCTATTTTTAGTAGAGACGGGGTTTCACTGTGTTAGCCAGGATGGTCTCGATCTCCTGACCTCGTGATCTGCCCGCCTTGGCCTCCCAAAGTGCTGGGATCACAGGTGTCAGACACCACACCCGGGCAGCCCGGTGGTTCTTAACCTGGGGTCCCAGGTCTGGCATCAGCATCACCTGAGAACTTGTGAGACATACAAATCCTTGTCCCCACCCCTTTTGCACCAGAAGCCCTGGGGGTGGGGCCCAGGAGAAGTCTTCCAAGTTAACAAGTCCTCCAGTGACTCTGATGCCTGTTAACATTTGACAACTCCTGCCTGGCTCATGAAGATCCAGAAGTCCCTGGCCTGTGGTCCTTCCTTATTCTGGGCCCAGGAGATATGTTCCTCTTCCTCCAAGGCCCAGCACCATCTTTCCTCACTCTTTTTATTTTTTTGGAGACAGAGTCTCGCTCTGTTGCCACACGACAAGGCTCACTGCAGCCTCTGCCTCTTGGATTCAAGCGATTCTTATGCCTCAGCCTCCCAAGTAGCTGGGATTACAGGCAAGCGCCACCAAACTCAGCTAATTTCTGTATTTTTTGTTGTTGTTGTTCAGACGGAGTCTCGCTCTGCCGCCCATGCTGGAGTGCAGTGGCGCAATCTCGGCTCACTGCAACCTCTGCCTCCCGGGTTCAAGTGATTCTCCTGCCTCAGCCTCCCGAGCAGCTGGGACTACAGGTGCCCACCACCATGCCAGGCTAATTTTTGTATTTCTGGTAAAGACGGGGTTTCACCATGTTGGCCAGGATGCTCTCAATCTCTTGACCTTGTGATCCACCCGCCGTGGCCTACCAAAGTGCTGGGATTACAGGCGTGAGCCACTGCACCCAGCCATTTTTGTATTTTTAGTAGAGATGGGGTTTCACCACGTTGGCCAGGATGGTCTCGATCTCCTGACCTTGTGATCCACCCACCTTGGCCTCCCAAAGTGCTGGGATTACAGGTCTGAGCCACCGCGCCCAGCCTCTTTTTTTTTCTTTGTAAAGATGGAGTCTTGCTATGTTGACCTGGCTGGTCTCGAACTCCTGAGCTTAAGTGATCCTCTCACCTTGGCCTCCCAAAATACTGGAATTACAGATGTCAGCCATTGCACCTGGCCAACTCTTGTTTTCTTGAGAAGGGAGGACCATTGGCTTTCTGGTTCTTCAAGAGTGCGGAGGCTGGGTGCAATGGCTGGCACCTGTAATCCCAGCACTTTGGGAGGCTAAAAATACAAAGATTAGTCTGTCATGGTAGCACGTGCCTATAATCCCAGCTACTAGGGGGGCTGAGACAGGAGGATTGCTTGAACCTGGGAGGGAGAGGTTGCAGTGAGCCGAGATCACGCCACTGCACTTGAGCTGTAAAATAAACAAAAACGATGGATCCTGTGCATTTTAAGGTGTTTAGGAGCATCCCTGGCCCCCACCCACGACATCCGACTAGCACCTTCCAGTTACAACAACATGTCTCCAGGGATTGCCATGTGTCTCCTGGGGGTGCAGCAGCAGCACAGTTGCCCCCAGTTGAGAAGCACTTGTCTAAACACTGGGGTGCTTTGACCTGGCCTCAGCCCCAGAGCTTTAAGCGTCATCTATACCTGGCCAGATGCAGTGGCTCATGCTTGTAATCTCAGCACTTTGGGAGGCTGAGATGGGAGGACTGCTTGGGGCCAGGAGTTTGAGACCAGCCTGGTCAACACAGTGAGACCTCATCTCTATACATTTTTTAAAAAGTAAAAAAAAAATAATAATAATACTTAAAAAATTTTGGCCGGGCATGGTGACTCACGCCTGTAATCCCAGCACGTTGGGAGGCCGAGGCACGCGGATCACTTGAGGCCAAGAGTTCGAGACCAGCCTGGCCAACATGGTGAAACCCTGCGTCTACTCTTGGCACGAGAATCACTTGAACCCAGGAGATGGAGGTTGCAGTGAGCTGAGATCACAACACTGCACTCCATCCTGGGTGACAGAGCATCAAAATACTAATACTAATACTAATACTAATACTAATACTAATACTAATAATAATATCCTTCTTACTCCCAAAACTTACCCTTCCTGGGTCTTCCCCTTCCACATTTATCTAATTAAATTAAATTAAATTAATAATTATTTTTGTTTGTTTTTTGTGTTTTTTTGTTTGTTTGTTTTTGAGACAGAGTCTCGCTCTGTTGCCCAGGCTGGAGTGCAGTGGCGCGATCTCGGCTCACTGCAAGCTCCGTCTCCCGGGTTCACACCATTCTCCTGCCTCAGCCTCCCCAGTAGCTGGGACTACATGCACCCGCCGCCACACCCGGCTAATTTTTTGTATTTTTAGTAGAGACAGGGTTTCACCGTGTTAGCCAGGATGGTCTTGATCTCCTGACCTTGTGACCCACCCACCTTGGCCTCCCAAATTGCTGGGATTATAGGCATGAGCCACCGTGCCCGGCCTATTTTATTTTATTTTGAGACAAAGTCTCTCTCTGTTGCCCAGGTGACCTTGGCTCACCGCAACCTCCGCCTCCCGGGTTCAAGTGATTCTCTTGCCTCAGCCTCCCTAGTAGCTGGGATTATAGGCGCCCGCCACCATGCCTAGCTAATTTTTTGTATTTTTAGTAGAGAAGGGGTTTCTCCATATTGCCCAGGCTGGTCTTCACCATATTGCCCTGACCTCAAGATGATCCACCTGCCTGGGCCTCCCAAACTGCTGGGATTACAAGTGTGAGCCACCATGCCTGGCTATGAGTTCTACTTCTGTTTTTTTTTTTTTTTTTTTTTTTTTTTTTTTTTTGAGACGGAGTCTCGCTGTCGCCCAGGCTGGAGTGCAGTGGCGAGATCCCAGCTCCCTGCAACCTCTGCCTCCCGGGTTCAAGCCATTCTCCTGCCTCAGCCTCCCGAGTAGCTGGGACTACAGGCGCCCACCACCACACCAGGGTAATTTTTTGTATTTTTAGTAGAGACAGCATGTCACCATGTTGGTCAGGCTGGTCTCGAACTCCTGACCTCATGATCCACCTGCTTGGGCCTCCCAAAGTGCTGGGATTCCAGGCGTGAGCTGCCGCACCCGGCTGAGTTTCTGCTTCTAAAGGCTGCACAGATAACAGTGTCAAGCACAGAGTCTCCACTCGAGAAATATTGGAAGAATGAAAAACAATAAAAATGAATACACAGCACGCACTTACCTGTCAGGCCTCACATTAAATACATTTCACATTTTATCACATTTAGTCCTTCTATCTACCTATGAAACCAGTAATAAATAGCATTCACTCCATTCAACACTTGAGGCAACTAAGAGGTCAACTAACTCCTCAAGGTTTCTCCATAACCTGGACGGCCAAGATTCCAGGAAGGCTGGCTATTGAGTCCACAGGACTCAGTACATTGCTTCTGCTGAGTGAGGCTGACTTTACAGAAGTAGCAACTGAGGCCCCGAGAGGGGGAACGATTTTACACCGGCATGCTGCCACTATAATTAGAGGCAGGGCAAAACCAGGCTAAACAAACTACAATTCCCATGAGCCTCCGGGGGCAGGGGCCCAGCCAGGGACGCTGCAGGCTACCCTGGGGCCTGCTGGGAGATGTAGTTCTGCAGTGTCACCTGAGACTGGGCGGGCTCACTCACCGCAGGACATAGGAACGGGCAGGTGCGCTCTTGTAGATATACTGCGCCAGCCACCACTGCACCGTCATGTTCCAGTACCGCATGCCATCGCGCACCCGCACGCAGAAATCTGTGCTGTAGCAGTCGATGTTGCGGATGGTCTCATAGTCATACTCCAAGGAAGCCGCCTTCTCCGGACTGGGGGGTGGAGGATGAGGGTGGGGGACAGACATGCAGCTCAGCCAGGCCCCCTCCCGACGCCTGCTAGTGTCCCAGCCCCGGATGCTAAGGAAGGGATCCTGGCCAGGCAATGGCCCTCTGGCTGTCAGACTTGCTAGGGCAGCAAGGGAGGGTGGCCCAGAGGGTGCCTGTAGGGTAGGAAGGTGGGTGGGCTGGGTGGTACAGTTCACTGACAATGGGGTTCTTCTTCTTTTGGTACCTAATGGGGCCCGCCACAGCCATGAAAAGCCTTGAAGGGCTATGGTTGCTAAGCTATGAGTCCTTTAGCAACCAAGCTCAGTATATTCAGAGAAGCCGCCAAGGATGGTCCCTTCTAAATTGTCGGACACTGCAGTTGCCAGGGAAGTTGTGGTTATCATCCCTAATAACAAGGTGCTTCACGGTTGCTAGGGAGATGTTCCAGGCGCCAGTGGGGTCCCCATGATCTTTGTTGCTAAGGAAAAGGCATTCCTTAGCAACAATGCCTAGGATGTTTAGAAAGGCTTTTAGGAAGGGGCTTTTTTCCTGGTCGCAGTGATTATTGGAGAAGTGTCACCTCTAGCAATACAGTGGCTCCCTCATCACTCATGTCGACAGCCCCAGCAGTGGGAAACACTGGCCCATATGAAGCCTTGGTGGCCTCTGATGACAGGAGGGGAGCCATCCTTTAGGAGTGAGGACCGAGCAGATTTAGAAAAACCTTCAATTCCTGCTTGGCTTTACTAGGGGGACATCCTCTCTCTAGCAGCTGGAGGTCAGGGCACGGTTATTAGGGCAGTGGTAACAAATTCCCGTGGGGGTGTCACTACCCCCACAACAGAATGGCAGTTTGTGACGACTAGGGGACAACCCTAGCAGGGAGTAGTAGTTCATCATTTACATCAACAGGCTGTTCCCCCAGCCGCAGTCCAAGCCCCTGGGGGAAGGCTGACTGCAGCTGTCAGGAACACAAGGGCAGTCTACTCCTGGTTGCCGGGGGTGCCATCTCCCTAGCAACACGGGGGCAATACTTCCTCAGCCACAAGAGAGTCCACAGCTATGGCCGTGCGACTTGCCTAGCAATGCAGGTGCCGGGGGGTGGAGCCTCTCTGGCAACAAGGGTCAACCCATAGTTTCCAGGGGGAGGTTTGGCTTCCTTAGCAACA